>NC_000006.12:95373820-95525335 GCF_000001405.40 Homo sapiens
TGACTAATACAATCCTGGTCCAAGAAAATCCAACATAAATTAAAATGAATAGGTAACAGCAGCCAATATCCACATGGGAAAATAAGAAAAACCATATTAGCTGATAATAATTCTCTCATCCAAACTAACCATAAACAAGATGAAAAATGTAGCACAAAAACACAATATGAATTATATATCCTTAAATAATATTTCTAAGTATAAAAAGGTATACAAAATTTGAAAAGCCAGAAAAAAGGACAAAAACTTGCAACAAGTAACATGAAAGATGAAAAAAACATGAAAGATACCACAATGAGATACCATCTCGCACCAGTCAGAATGGCTATTATTAAAAAGTCAAAAAATAACATGCTGGTGAGGTTGTGGAGAAAAAGAAACACTTACAGACTTCTGATGGGAATGCAAATTAGTTCAGGCACCGTGAAAAGCAGTCCAGAGAGTTCTCAAAAAACTTAAAACAGAACTACCATTTGACCTAGCAATTCCATTACTGGGTATATACCCAAAGGAATATAAATTCTGTGTTCATCGCCGCATCATTCACAATAACAAAGGCATGGAATCAATCTAGATGCCCATTAATAGTGGACTGGATAAAGAAAATGGGGTACATTACACTATAGAATACCATGCAGCTATAAAAGGTCATGGTCTTCGCTGGAGATCATGGTCTTTGCTGCAACATGGATGGAGCTGGATGCTACTTTTCTAAGTGAACCAACATAGTAAAGAAAACCAAATGTCTCATGTTCTCACTTATATAAATGGGAGCTAAACATTGAGTACACATGGATACAAAGAAAGTAACAATAGAAACTGAGGCCTCTTTGAGGGTGGAGGGTGGAAGAAGAGTGAGGATTGAAAAACTGCCTATTGAGTATTATGCTGATTACCTGGCTGAAAAAATAATCTGTAAGCTAAACCCCTTGTGACAAGCAATTTAACCATGTAACAAACCTGCATATGTACACCTTGAGCCTAAAATAAAAGTTGGATAGAAGAAAAATAAGAAAAAAAGAAATCAAAACAGAAGGAAAAAAATCCCAATGAATTCAAGGTAGCCTTTGATAAAAGTATAACAAGAATTCAATAGAAGAATAAAAATTAAGAGAATGTAAAGTGAAGAAAGAGTTATACAGGATCAGAAAACAAATTTGACATAGACTATAAGCAAAGAAAACTCAATATAAGATTAATTGGAGTTTCAAAAAAGAAAAATCAATGAAATAAATGCAATCCAAGAAATGTGTCAGAAACAAAAGAAGACCAAAATCTACATATTGAAAAATTTTACCACATAAAATTGACATGGAACAGTCAATTCTGAGACATAACGAAGTACCTCAATTCAGCTTTAAGATAAAGAAAATATGGTTTGAACCTCCAAGACATTTACAAAGGAAGAAAATCAAATGTTATCAGATTTTATAACAGCAATATACAAAATACAAAGCAAAGCAAAAGTGGAGAAGCATTTTCAAAAGGATAAAAAGTGAAAATCAGTAAGAGAAAAGGAAATAGACAACATAGAAGAAACACAGTAAATACAACAATATGTATGGTAACTATAAAACAAATAGTATGACAAAGTTGATTCTATGTCAGCCATAACATACCTATTAAAAATAATTTGTAAGCAAAATGAAATTCTGTTGGGTTTTGGGTTCTGTTGTATAGAGAGATACATAAAGCAATGTTATTCAGAAAGATTAAAAGAAAGTAATGATACATGTATACATGGCAATTTCAAACAATAAAAAGACAGGATTGCAATCTTGATATCAGCAGAAACCACAGAAATGGAAAGGAAAAATAGTAATGCACTTTATTAGTTTACACAGCTTTGTTAGAAAGAGATCTAAATTTTCCAGAATTCCCTTTCCAGTGTAGTTCCTGCTAGAGGTTGACCCTCCAAAATTTGCATATTTAGAGACAGAAATGAAGCAGCAGCCATTACTCTCTGAAACCCTTTCTGCAATTAGATGCAGTGACAATTAATTTTTAAATAACTGGGAAAGAGTGAGGAAGGGTCTATGGTATTTGATTTGAATTGGAGACTTCAGTATGAATTCATTATTTATTTAAGAATACTTCTCTCTCTGACCACTGAAATCGTCTAGAAACAATGACACCCTAGTAACAAAAAGCACACCAATCACCCAGATCTAGCATGAAATGTCTACAAGGAGTTCTCATCACTTAAAAGGGGACTTGGAACAATTTCTGCCACAAAACAAAGAAGTGGTAAAAATTTTATGGGTACAGATTGGAAGTTGATAGAAATTATCTTGACGAAGCTTCCAGTGGTCAACTTTGGGCAAGTTGAGCATCAAAAGGATGATAGTCGTAAAAAATTATGTCATACTGAATAATAACAATAAACAATCCAAAACCATTGCTACAAAAAGCAGATTGGAATGGAAAATCTTTTCTTTACCAAAGAATGCCAAATAACTATTTAGTTGGAATGATGGTAGAAAATCACAGCTTTCTGACCACCAATGCAGCAACTAATCCAGAAAAGGTTATTATTTGTGGCATTGGGTGAAATTATTAAAAAGTTGATATTCAGAGGTTCTCAAAGTATCACTCAACAAATGCTGACTAATTAGAAAAAAAATACAGATTTGGTGTCAAACTAATGGGACATACACACATTATATGCCTTCTGATGTAATGGTAATGACAGAAACTGCTATCACATATGCAGTATCACTGCTAAAAATGTTTAACCTGAATCTAATAATAAGTAAAATATAAACAATTACACATTGTAGAACATTTTACAAGTCAACCAGCATGGTGTCTTTAAGAATGTCAGTCTAATTCATAGGATAGCTTCAAAGTGATGCTCACTTGCCAACCACACAGATATTTAGAGCTCCCAATCAACATTTAAGGTGCCACACTCTAAAATATAAACAAGCAAGGGTCTATAATTTTTTACCAAACTCTCCAACATGTTAGATAGATTGAGCTAAACAGGGAAAAATGACATTGCAAGAAACATAAATCATGGGAAAAGACAAGAACTACAAATAAACACATATGCATAAATGACAAGAAATACAACTGTGTGTGTGTGTGTGTATATATACATATATATACACACACAAATATATTATGTAATAAGTAAGTGGACAGTGTGATTCAAAAAGATACTCCATAGATTTAAAAAAATTAGATGTTGTGAAGAAGATTAGATGAATAGGGCAAGAATCTGCAGGAGAAAGTTTTCCAGAAAAAAAAAATTAAAAAAAGAAAAAGAAAACATAATAAATTCAGTGAAAAATCCTATATAATATGATCATGAAACATTCAAGATTGACAAATGTAATTAAAATAAAAATTTTTAAATGTTACCAGAGGCTCTATTAATTTCTTTGGTACATATACATATACATATATGTGTGTATACATAATATAATAATACATACATGTATTTCAAGTATATATATATTTGGTATTTTAAATATATATATGAAATATGTATTATATATTATTCAATATATAATACATTATTCAATAATATGTATTATATATTATTCAATATATAATACATTATTCAATAATATGTATTATTCAATACATATTATTCAATAATATGTATTATTCAATACATATTATTCAATAATATGTATTATTCAATACATATTCAATAATATGTATTATTCAATACATATTATTCAATAATATGTATTATTCAATACATATTATTCAATAATATGTATTATTCAATACATATTATTCAATAATATGTATTATTCAATACATATTATTCAATAATATGTATTATTCAATACATATTATTCAATAATATATATTACTAAATATATAATACACTATTCAATAATATATATTATTTCAAATATGTATATTTTAAATACATATGTGTGTTGGTTTTCTCTTTTTGTTCCCTAGCCCACCAGATCCATTCATGGGCCCTCTCTGCTTCCACTGTGGCCCCAAGAAGTTGATACTTGTGAAAGGCAATGGAAGGCACTACCTAGAGATAGACCAGCAGGAAGGGAGACAGGTTGGACACTTCATTTCTTCTATGGTTTGGTGCAACTTCTGTGACCACTCATTTTCAGAGCTCCCTGAACATTTCCAGCTTTCACTGGACTTCCATATCTCAATTTCCTCCATTTCTGTCTTCATCCCTAATGGAGAACCAGTCTCCAGTTTTTGCAAAGCTCTTGGTGCCTTATCATTTTTTTCTGTTCTCCTAACATTATATACACCCTTAAAAAAACTTGTATTAAAAGTTTCTTCTCACAATAGAGAATAATCAAATAGACATAATAAAAAATGATAAAAGGGATATTACCACCGATCCCACAGAGATACAAACTACCATCAGATAATACCATAAACACTCCTACACAAATAAACTAGAAAATCTAGAAGAAATGGATAAATTCCTGGACACACACACCCTCCCAAGACTAAATGAGGATGAAGTCGAATCCCTGAATAGACCAATAACAAGTTCTGAAATTGATGCAGTAAATAATAGCCTGCCAACCAAAAAAAGTCCAGGACAAGACAGATTCACAGCCGAATTCTACCAGAGGCACAAAGAGGAGCTGGTACCAATCCTTCTGAAAGTATTCCAATCAATAGAAAAAAAGGGACTCTTCGCTAACTCATTTTATGAGGCCAGCATCACCCTGATACTAAAACTTGTCAGAGACACAACAAAAAAAAGAAAATTTCAGGCCAATATCTCTGATGAACATCATTGTGAAAATCCTCAATAAAATACTGGCAAACCATATCCAGCAGTGCATCAAAAAGCTTATCCACAAAGATCAAGTTGGCTTCATTCCTGGGATGCAAGGCTGGTTCAACATACGCAAATCAATAAACATAACCCATCACATAAACAGAACCAATGACAAAACCACATGATTATCTCAATAGATACAAAAAGGCCTTTGAGAAAATTCAACAGCCATTCATGATAAAAACTCTCAATAAACTAGGTATTAATGGAACATATCTGAAAATAATAAGAGCTATTTATGGCAAACCCACAGCCAATATCATACTGAATGGGAAAATGCTGGAAGCATTCCTTTGAATACCAGCACTAGACAAGGATGCCCTCTCTCACCACTCCTATTCAACATAGTATTGGAAGTTCTGGCCAGGGCAATCAGGCAAGAGAAAGAAATAAAGGGTATTCAAATAAGAAGAAATGAAGTCAAATTGTCTCTGTTTGCAGATGACATGATTGTATATTTAGAAAACCCCATTGTCTCAGCCCAAAATCTCCTTAAGCTGATTAGCAACTTCAGCAAAGTCTCAGGACACAAAAACAATGTGCAAAAATCACAAGCATTCCTATACACCAATAATAGACAAACAGAGAGCCAAATCATGAGTGAACTCCCACTCACAATTGCTAGAAAGAGAATAAAATATCTAGAAATACAACTTACAAGGGATGTGAAGGACTGCTTCAAGGAGAACTACAAACCACTGCTCCAGGAAATAAGAGAGGACACAAACCAAAGGAAAAATATGCCATGCTCATGGAAAGGAAGAATGAATATCATGAAAATGGCCATACTGCCCAAAGTAATTTATAGATTCAGTGCTATCCCCATCAAGCTACCATTGACTTTCTTCACAGAATTAGAAAAAAAAAACTACTTTAAATTTCATATGGAACCAAAAAATAGCCCATATAGCCAAGACAATCCTAAGCAAAAAGAACAAGCCTGAAGACATCATGCTACCTGACTTCAAACTATACAACAAGGCTACAGTAACCAAAACAACATGGTACTGGTACCAAAACAGATATATAGAACAATGGAACAGAACAGAGGCCTCAGAAATAATACCACACATCTACATCCATCTGATTTTTGACAAACCTGACAAAAACAAGCAACGGGGAAAGGATGCCCTATTTAATAAATGGTGTCGGGGAAACAGGCTAGCCATATGCAGTAAACTGAAACTGGACCCCTTCCTTACACCTTATACAAAAATTAACTCAAGACAGATTAAAGACTTAAACGTAAGACCTAAAACCATAAAATTCCTAGAAGAAAACCTAGGCAATACCATTCAGGACATAGGCATGAGCACAGACTTCATAACTAAAGCACCAAAAGCAATGGCAACAAAAGCCAAAATTGACAAATGAGATCTAATTAAACTAAAGAGCTTCTGCACAGCAAAAGAAACTATCGTCAGAGTGAACAGGCAACCTACAGAATAGGAGAACATTTTTGCAATCTATCCATCTGACAAAAAGCTAATATCCAGAATCTAGAAGAACTTAATCAACTTTACAAGCATAAAACAAACAACCCATCAAAAAGTGGGCGAAGGATGTGAACAGGCACTTCTCCAAAGAAGACATTTATGCAGCCAACAGACACATGAAAAAATGCTCATCATCACTGGTCATTAGAGATACGCAAATCAAAACCACAATGAGATACCATCTCAGGCCAGTTACAATCACAATCATTAAAAAGTCAGGAATCAACAGATGCTGGAGAGGATGTCGAGAAATAGGAACGCTTTTACACTGTTAGTGGGAGTGTAAATTAGTTCTACCATTGTGGAAGACAGTGTAGCTATTCCTCAAGGATCTAGAACTAGAAATACCATTTAACTCAGCAATCCCATTACTGGGTATATACCCAAAGGATTATATATCATTCTACCATAAAGACACATGCACACATATGTTTATTGCAGTAATTTTCACAATAGCAAAGACTTGGAACCAACCCAAATGCCGATCAATGATAGACTGGATAAAGAAAATGTGGTACATAAACACCATGGAATACTATGCAGCTATAAAAAAGGATGAGTTCATGTCCTCTGCGGGGACATGGATAAAGCTGGAAACCACCATTCTCAGCAAACTAACACAGGAACAGAAAAGCAAACACCACATGTTCTCACTCATAAGTGGGAGTTAAACAGTGAGAACACATGGACACAGGGAGGGGAACATCACACACTGGGGCCTGTCAGGGAGTGGGGGCTAGGGGAGGGATAGCATTAGGAGAAATACCTAATGTAGATGATGGGTTGATAGGTGCAGCAAACCACCATAGCACGTGTATACCTATGTAACAAACCTGCACGTTCTGCACATGTATCCCAGAATTTAAAGTATAATAAAAAATAAATAAATATAAAAATAAATAAATAAAAATAAAAGAAAACCGTGTTCAAGCTAAAAAAAAAAAAGGTTCTTCTCTTAAATCAACTGAATTTTATTTCCTGCTGCATGAGACCTTAAAACTATACTGATAAATATGCAAACACATTTTTTTCTGGAAATTATTAGGAATTATGAGAAACTACTAAAAGTGGAAAACACTGGGGAAACGGTCCAGGGACAGCAGGGAGCCACAATTCTTAATGTTATACTTTTGTATACTCTTTAATTTGTCTAAGCTTTAGATTGTTGGTACAGAGTATGGGAGAGTTGTGTCTGAGGCCTTCATTTAAGGACAAGGGTAGAGATTAAACAGTGAAAATCTACTTGGAACAGACAGAATATAGGGTTGGTAATGGTGTCAATCATAGTTATTATAATGATGTTAAGGAATTTTGAACAAAAAACTAAAATTTCTGAAGGCGAAAGAGAAGCAGTAGAACAAAACAAAGAATTATTATTTTAAAAAATCCCCTTTGGTAAATCAATACAGTGTACCTACACCAAATCTTGTCTCAGATAAGATAAGCAGGATAGAAGAGCACACCTAAAACAAAAGTATTATTGGACCGTCCTCTAGGTCTTTTTCAAAGAAGTACTAGATGTTTTGTCTCATCTCTCACCAATACAGATAAAGGCAAGCCTTCTCATTCTCCTTCCCAAAGCCTTAAACTCAAAAGAAAGATTGTAGGTTTCCATCAATCTTCAGTTACAAAGTTATTTTTTAGATATCTTTAGCAACCAATGCATAGCTTTTTTTTTACTAGCTCCTGTTCAGATGTATTGTGAATTAAACTATTGATAATATTTTAGAGAAGAAATATTAATTGATGTACTTTAAGAAATGTGACTCAATTGATAAGTTACTTTTAACAAGTCACTAATGGAAGCTTTTGGTCATCAAGACATTTGTGCTAAATAAGAAATGAGCTCTTGACGTTTCTTGTTGTAGGAAAAGAGTATGCCTTTCTCTTTTCAAGTAATAACTCAGGAAAAATTGTATTTGCTAAGAATCAAAACACTTAAATATGCCTAGATTATTTAAATTTTATTATCTGTGAACATAGGCAAATATACTGATATTTTTCTGCTCTTATAAATCCCTTTAAACTATATCATGTCATACATACATATAGGAAATAATTTCTTTTAAAAATCTAATGAATTCCCAATACCTGAATGCACTTCCAAATATTTTGTGGATTTTTAAAAAGAACTTTTATTATAAGTTCCCAGTATCTAGCTTTCACTGTAACAAAACTAAAAAATAAAAAAAGACTTGCCTTTTGTATTGTCGAGGCATCATGAGTCACTTTATTTGAGGCATAACTAGTGGCACTAAAGGCCCCCACCCCTTATTTTTTTCACTGAGAGGCCTTCTACTCCTTGTTTATGTAAAATTTACAAAGATTGGTGCAAAGCTGATAGCTGACAGCAACATGATGGATGAAAGGCAAAAGTATATTTCTTCAGCATAATATTTACCTTTAATGAGAAATCTATAACTATTCCCACCTGCATATTGGTTTTTAAATATTATCAAGGAAAACAGGTGATATACAGTTACATTCCCGGCCAGAAATATTTAAAAATTATAGTAATATCAACATGACTTCTACAAATTCAGTTTTGTTAGGCCAAAAGAATTCTTTTCTTTAGATTTGTTATGGTAGGAATATGAGCTTTTCTGTCATATAAATAAGATTATCTTCAAATAAAAGATTCAATTGCAATTTTTTTATTGAAGTAAAAAAAATGATCTGGGCTTTTTCTACATGTTAACCATTACATTTAGAGTTAAATCTAAAGAGCAAAGCAACATTCAGGCAACAGAATAGCACCTGCCTTCTTCCTTACGAGTATAATTTGCTTCTATGATTCTAAAATTAATACTAGAACAACAAGGCAGCAGCGAAAAACATCTTTACAAAAAGACACCTGCAAAATGTATTTTTTTAATTCTGATTTCTGGTAGACAATATAAATCATTACCTATTTGTGTCACATTAAGTTTTGTAATTTTGAGAAAATTTTGGGAACACATTACTCATTGCATATAATATCTTGATTGGAAAAATGTTCCTGAAAAGCAAGCATTCATGATAAATGCAGATACGATTTTCCTTTAAGGTGTACTTTTTAAAGTATGCAAAATTTGCGTTTGAAGTACCAATGCCTTTCAATCAAAGACTAACAGAAACATATCTGTAATTGAACAAATTTGTATTTATTCACTTATTGCAAAGGAAAAAGCACATCATAGGAGATGTGGGATGTCTTAGTAAGAAAGTGTTAAGAAGGACTTGTTATAGGATTGTGGCTTGTGTTAGGCAAGTTTGGAAAAGCGTTCAGGTAGCAGGGCTCTGTTGTAGAACAGATGCTGTCCAGAAAACTTTTTTCTAGGAGCTGAGAAGAATACAGTGGGACTTAGGCTGTGACTTGGCAAAAAAGCAAAAGTTACTCATATTAGCTAGGACAGAGAGATCTTTAGTTGTATTTTGGCTTGGACAATGTTTATGATTTTTACAAATTGATATTGTGTTTGTCTTAATCCATCATCGTTATATAGTGGCCTTCTCTGTGAAATTATTAATGTTAAATAAGAAAACATCACAGCCAGCTGTAAGTGTGCCAGGCCTATCTCTTCCGGCAGGGTCCACTTTTTCCTTTATCAGAAAAAAATTCCTTCATTGAGAAGGCTCTTATATTCCCCAAATGATACATTAAGGCAATTAACGATGTCAAAATACCACTTAATGATGGCAGCCATGGCCCATGTAGAGTGGCTGCTGCCATGACACCAGCTTCAGTTGTGGAGGCATGGCCAGGGTTGTGTGCTCCAGGGAGCTTGCAGGAGCCAGGAGCAGGCAGGAGCCCTGCCCTCCTGGGCATAGCTGCAGCCACCCAACTCACAGCTGTGGACCCAGGACTCCCCGTACTCTTGGGGGCCAGGAGCAGGCAGAAACCCCCCTGCCCTCCCAGGTGCAGCTGTAGGCACCCAAGCTGTGGCTGTGGACCTGGGCATCTCTACACTCTCAGGGACTGGGAAGGACCCCACTGCAGGCTCAGAGGTGTCTGTTACCACTGCCTGGCCTCTCCCCACTCCCGGTGCCCACTCTGATATCCAAGCAAGTTTGAGACTGAGCCCAGGCCCTGTCACTGCCCACTTGAGTGTACATACACTCAGGGCAGCACTGAAACACCAGCCCACTGGTGCATCAGCCCCCTCCACACTTTGGGCACTGACAAGCATGGGAAGGAGGTCAAGGGGGTGTTGAGGGCAGCTCAGTGCTGACCTGCAGGTGCCCCTTGGTATGAACAGCCTAAGCACCGTGAACAGCAGCATATGAGGCACACTGGCTCTTGGGTGGAAGGAGGCAGGTCCCACATGAAGCCCCACCTTCAAATCAGGGAGATCCTGAAGCCTGGGGGCTGGGCTGCTGGTCCCATAGACTGGAATGGGAACTTGTGGTGCTTTTTCTGGGCCCACCCATGGCCACCTATGGACCAATTGGCATATTCTTCCTCCCCTCTGTGGCCCATAAAAGCCCAAAACTCAGCCAGACTCGAGGAAACAGCAAGATGACCAGCTGAGAAGAGCTACCCACCCCATGGTCTCCTCTCTGCTAAGAGCTGAACACTCAGGACACTCTGCCTGCAAAGAGGAGCTACCCAATGTGGGTCTCCTCTGAGCTGCTCTGCCACTCAATAAAGCTCCTCTTCACCTTGCTCTCCCTCCACTTGTCTGCATACCTCATTCTTTCTGGATGCAGGACAAGAACTCAGGACCAGCCAAATGGCGGGACTAAAGAGCTGTAACACAAACGCAGCTGAAATACACCCCTTGCTCAGCACCTTGCAGATGACAAGAAGGAGAGAAGAGAGAAGGAGAGAAGAGCTGTGCCCCTTCAGGGAGCCTAGACCTAGGAACTCTGAGAGGCAGGGCTGTGACACCCTCTTTGAGGCTGTGAGGTTCTTGGCATCTCCAAGCTTCCAGGCACCACCACGTTCCCTGGTCATAACCGTGGAAGCTGCTTGTGGTATGCCTGGTCCAGCCACAGCATCACAGGGAGCCGGTGCCTGTGCCAGCACCTGTAGCTGCCCACCTCATCACAGCTGGTGTGCCTAGCTGTGCACAATGGCCAGACCCTACACTCACTCACACATCCCTCACCACTCCATACCTGGCTGGCCCCTGACTTGCCAGTAGCACAAGCCAAGTGCAGCCTGCCAGGCCAAGTGGGTGGAAAAAGCCCATTGGCCTTGAGCAAAACTCGGGGAAAGGCGCCACTGGCGACAGAGGTTTCTGGCAGGTGAAGCGACACCCCAAAGATCCTGTAACATTTACATCTTTCAATTATGTATATTCTTTACAAATTCTTTTGTAACAATATTCTTTGGACAATTTATGTAATATAAAGATTTATAAATATTAATTACAAAAGTAAATTTTACTAATGAAGTATTTGCATGCTATAAAAATGTTAACAGCTTTATTAAGGTATAATTGACATATAATAAACTGCACATATTCAAATGTATCATCACATAAGTTTTGATGTATGTGTGCACCTTTATCATCATCACTAATAATGCATTCACCTCTATAAGTACAATTAATTTTTTAAAGTATTTCCTTAAGAAAATGATATTTACCTAATAAACATAACTATATTAATTTTCTTTCTTCTATATTCTAAATCTGTCATTTATTGAGTTTATTTTCTACCAAATAAAATGATTGACCAGAATATAGCCCTGGGTAACAAAATCACTAGAGAGAAAAGTCAGCAGTAACAGCGGATAGTAGAGGCCAGGCAAGGTGGCTCATGTCTGTAATCCCAGCACTTTCAGAGGCCAAGGTGGGCAGATCACTTGGGTCCAGGATGGTGAAAGCTCGTCTCTACTAAAAATACACAAATTAGCAGGGCCTGGTGGCAAACACCTGTAGTCCTAGCTACTTGGGAGGCTGAGGCAGAAGAATCACTTGAATCCAGGAGGCTGAGGTTGCAGTGAGCCAAAATCACACCACTGCACTCCAGCCCAGGCAACAGAGCAAGGCTCTGTCTCAAAAAAAAAAAAAAAAAAAAAAAAAAAAAGTGGATAATAGAAATTCACTGACCTTTTTCAGCCAGGAAGAATATGGTGTTCCTCTTAAGCCATGTGAGAAAAATTTCACTTTATCATGTTAGTTGCAAGTGTAGAAATTGTCTGGCTGATTTAAGAAGAATAGGATTAGAAATAGTTCACAGAATCACCTGGAATACTGGGTAAACAAGCTCAGAAATTGGTCCAAACCAGGGAGGCTGTACTTCAAGCCCCACTGAAAAAATCTGCCATTGCTGAACCTGGAGATTAGATGTTGCCACCAGTGTAGCCATCACTCACCACTATCAGGAGAAATTCAGCCCCGATATTTCACATAGGTTCTTTTCTATTTTCCCCAAGTGTCTGTCGGCTGGTCTGAGAAATAAAGTGACAGAGTACAAAAGAGAAAAATTTTAAAGCTGGGTGTCCGGGGAAGACATCACATGTCAGCAGGTTCTGTGATGCCCCACAAGCCGCAAAACCAGCAAGTTTTTATTAGTGATTTTCAAAAGGGGAGGGAGTGTACGAATAGGGTGTGGGTCACAGAGATCACATGCTTCACAAGGTAATAAGATATCACAAGGTAAATGGAGACAGGGCAAGATCACAGGACCACAGGACCGGGGTGAAATTAAAATTGCTAATGAAGTTTTGGCACACTTTGTCATTGATAACATCTTATCAGGAGACAGGGTTTGAGAGCAGACAACCAGTCTGACCAAAATTTATTAGGTGGGAATTTCTTCGTCCTAATAAGCCTGGGAGCGCTATGGGAGACTGGGGCTTATTTCATCCCTACAGCTGCAACCGTAAAAAACAGCCACCCCCAAAGCGGCCATTTTAGAGGTCTACCCTTAGGGACACATTATCAGGGATGTTCCTTGCTGAGAAAAAGAATTCAGCGATATTTCTCCCATTTGCTTTTGAAAGAAGAGAAATATGGCTCTGTTCTGCCCAGCTCACTGGCGGTCAGTTTAAGGTTACCTCTCTTGTTCCCTGAACACTGCTGTTATCCTGTTCTTTTTTTCAAGGTGCCCAGATTTCATATTGTTCTAACACACATGCTCTACAAACAATTTGTGCAGTTAACGCAATCATCACAGGGTCCTGAGGTGACATACATCCTCCTCAGCTTACGAAGATGATGGGATTAAGAGATTAAAGTAAAGACAGGCATAGGAAATCACAAGGGTATTGATTGGGGAAGTGGTAAGAGTCCATGAAATCTTCACAATTTATGTTCAGAGATTGCAGTAAAGACAGGCGTAAGATATTATAAAAGTATTAATTTGGGGAACTAATAAATGTCCATCAAATCTTCACAATTTATGTTCTTCTGCCATGGCTTCAGCTGGTCCCTCCGTTCAGGGTCCCTGACTTCCCGCAACACACCACCACCTTGCTTCTTTCCATCAATGTTCAGGGTGGGTGCATCTGAGCAGCCAAGCCTAGGTCAGGTGGTCACGCTCAGGTTTCAAAGAGGCACTGGCAAACGTGAGCATTCATGTTTTCAGCCTTGGATTTAGGTAGCAAATTCTGCTTTTCACTAAGACATAAGATAATTTCCCCCACACTACAAACGGGAAATGTGGTGCAGGTTATGGATAGGAAACAGTTAAGTGGCAATTTTCCACTACAGAGTCTAAAATGAGGTCACTTACAGATTAATTGGAAAAAGGTATTTTGAAAGAGGAAATAGGCATCAGCAGTCTGTCTCATTGTGTGGTTAAATTTAAAAATCTGGTAGTAATATCCAAAGTAGCTGCTGAATAGAATGCTTGCCTCCTGACTGTCAGTTATCCATTCAGGTAAATGAAAAGTAGACCAGGATCAACACAGGCCCCATAGTTCATCTTATTAAATATTTCCTTTGCCAGCTCAGCAGGGACTCCATGGTGACTCCCACTCCTTTGAGCACAGTGCTGTGTTCTGTCCCACCCACTCCTCATTTCCAGCTCACAAAGACACTGTGTAGCCCATGTGACCTAAGGCAATGAATCTGCAATATCAACTTCAGTTCTCAGCTGCTTCAGAGCCACACTAGCATAACTGGGAAATACCTGCATCTCATCAATAATGAATGGCACATGGATCTATACTAAGGCTTTATATCCACCTTCAAAAAGAGAGAAGCTTAATTGTTAATATGCCTCACTCTGTGGTGCTTGACTATACTGTTTCATTTCTCCCTCTTGATAGTCTAGTGAGCTTGAAGGAGGCTGGATCTTCAAGTACGTTGAACAATGGGCCCAGCTGTGAGCCCTGGAGAGAGTAATCCAGGTATGAGTATGTTGAAAATAGCAAACCATGCCATATTGTAAAGGAGTCTCTAGCAATTGAAACCACATTTACTGGGTCTCTTGTCAGATGCCAGAATTTACCTCCACTAGATCACCAGCCCATCATCTTAAGTAAAAGAAAGAAATCCCTCAACCTTGTGAGGAGTACACTGTTTATGAAGAAAGGCTGTTTTCTCCCTCCTCCAAGAGCAGGAGAGATAATATTCTTCTTCTCCTAATCCAAAGAAAGTGGGAAAGGGACAAAGAAAGTGGAGAAAAAAGGCTCAAAGATATTGGGGTTTTCTTCAATAAGGGAGGACTAAAATTTCACTCTTTATTGCATAGCTTAGGCAGTAGGTTTAATAAATTCTCTGTACCACATCTAGCACAGGAGAAAAAAAACTTGGGTCAGTTGGTCTGGAGGGGAAACTACCATATGGAAAGATGATCAGTACCACACTCTTAACTTTCCAACTCCTAGCTTCCAGAGACTATGGAATGAATCCGTGGATCCATCATGTCTGTAAAGAGGATAGAAGAAATGAAGTGCCAAGACTAGACTGCATAGCAAACAAGGAGGCACATGTGTCATAGCAGGTGTTGAGATGTCACTACTTGGAGTTCAGTAGGGACAGGCAGCCCATCTCCTTAGGATTCCAGGATCTCCACGGAGGCAGGCCACTCATCAGTGGAGCACATTGGTGCTACCTCCAATTCATGTCCAAATAAAATGAACTACAGCAGCAGTTAAAGTCAAACAAAAAGCAATGTTTGCAGTTTTCTCTTTCTACCTTCCAAAACAAAACAACAGGAAGTAGTCCCAAGGAGAAAATGCAATCTGGGAAAGTGAGAGGACAGTGGAGGCAGTTTTCAGAAAGCTCTGTTCTAAGAGTAGAATTAAAGTTTTTAAAGGGTATAAATAATGAAGGAACATTTAAAAAGCTAGCATTGTTAAAGTTTTCTGTCTAAAAACAAATTAAGACTTTATTATTACTTTTTTTAAAAAAAGCAGTATTAGGTTCACAGTAAAATTAAGAGGAAGGTACAGAGTTCCCATATGCTCTCTGCTTTCCCACACTATCAACATCCTGCACCAAGTGGTAGATTTGTTACAACTGATGAACCCATATTGACACATTATTACCCAAAGTTCATGGTTTACATTAAAGTTCACTCTTGTGCAAGGTGGGTTTGGACAAATGTATACTAATTATATGCATTATAGTATTACACAGAGTATTTTCACTGCCCTTAAAAATTCTCTGTCCTCTACCTATTCATCCCTCCCCCTCCAACTCTTGGCAACCACTGCTGTTTTTACTTTCTCCATAGTTTTGCATTTTCCAGAATGTCATATATTTGGAATCATATAGCATGTAGACTTTTCAGATTGACTTCTTTCACTTAGTAGTGAAAGAAGTAGTAGTATGCATTTAAGTTTTCTCCATGTATTTTTGTAGCTTGTTAGCTTATTTTTTTTTGCACTGAGTAATATTTCATTGACTGGAGGCAACACTGTTTATTCACCGACTAAAAGACATCTTGATTGGCTCAAAGTTTTTGCAAGTATGAATAAAACTGCTATAAACATCCATGTGCAGGTTTCTGTATGGATATAAGCTTTCACCTCCTTTGGGTAAACACTAAGGAGAGGGATTGCAGTGTTGTATGGGTAACAGTTAAGTGTAGTTTTGTAAGAAACTGACAAACTGTCTTCCAAAGTGGGTGGTACCATTTTGCATTCCCATCAGCAATGAATGGGCTTCGTCGTTGCTTCACATTTTTGCCAGCATTTTTTGTTAGCAGTGTTGTGGATTTTGGCCATTTGATAGGTTTGTAGTGATGTCCCATTGTCATGTCATCTTAATCTTGCCTTTCCCTGATGACGTAGACATGCAATATCTTTTCATATGCTTATTTGCCATCTGTATATCTTCTTTGGTAAGGTTCTATGGAGGTCTTTGGCCCATTTTTCATTGGGTTGTTTATTATTTTATTTTTGAGATTTTATTTTATTACTTTATTTTTAAGTGTTCTTTATATATTCTGGAAACAGGTTTTTTTTTAATCATATATATCTTTCACAACTATCATCTCCCAACTTCCCATTCTCTTGGCAGTATCTTCCACAGAGCAGAAATTTTAAATTTTCTTCATGAACTGTCTTGTGTCATAGACTCCTGTGCAGATACGATAATTGTGTTAGAATGTTTGTTCAGATGAAGACCCCACACACAAACACATTTGGTGGGGGTAATGGTAGTTCACAGACTTTTTGTAATCTGTTTTACTCAGTTCAAAATGCTATAACAAATTGCCTAAGACTGAGTAGCTTAAACAACAAACATTTATTTCTCATAGTTCTGGAGTCTGGGAAGTCCAAGATCAAGGTACCTAGCAATTTGGTATCTGGTGAGGCTTTTCTTCCTGGTTTGCAAATAATCATCTTCTTGCTGAGTCCTCACATGGCAGAAAGCAGAGAAACAAGCTTTCCCATTTCTCTTCTTAAAATGTACTAATCCTATCATAAGGGCTCCAATTGAGGATGTAATTACCTCCCAAAGGCCCCACCTCCTAATACCATCTCATTGGGTGTTAGGTTTCAACATATGTATTGTGAGAGGGGGTTATAAATATTTAGTCCATAACAAGGACCTTTATAGACTATTTGGGGGTTCTCAGACCTCAGTTTATGAAGATCATATCTATTATTCCTCTTGAATAATATAATTATTTTCTGTCACTGGAGAGGAAAATAGGAAGATGACTGATCTGATTATTATATCAGGATCTGCACAAAAGCAGTTCTTCTGTACAGAATACTTTGCCCAGCTTTACTAATTTATCAGGATTCTGCTCAGAATCCATACTGTCAGAAGCCCTCCAAGACTTCCATCTGTAGGATGAATGAGCTGCCCTTCTTATTTTCTCTCAGAGTAACCTGGGTAGACATTTTCAGAGTATCTTTTATAATGTAATTGTAAATTCCCTTAACTATAAGCATTATCATGTCAGAATCCTGTCTGGTCTACATCCGTGCTTTCTGAAGTCAACATGGAACCTGACACATAGTAGGTACACAATAAAAACTTGTAAAATGGGTGAGTGAAGGGATGAAGGAATGCATCTGTCATCTGGTATAATTTTATTTACATTCTGAAGTTTGAACCCAATCCTTCCCTCCATTTGCAAATTATAATATTCTGCTTATTAGCAAATGCTTCTGAGACTCTCATCTCTTTCAAGATTGATTCCTCCATTTTCCTGAGGCCAAGGGAGCTCTATCCCAGTCTGGCATGCTCACATTCTCCCAGCTTTCCTACTATTGCCATTTTCTGCTTTAGCAGTTCTGTGCCCTTCCTGCCTTGGTTCTAGTGGTCTGTATTCTCACAATTCCCTGTTTGTTTAATTACTACCTATGTCACCATAAGATTTCCTATATCCTGCATCTTTCTGATTCAGAAGCCCATCCATGGTTTATCTTCTTATGCAAATGGAGGAGATTTCATACCACCTGATCCAAGATCTCTAAAGTGACCTGGCTTCTGTGAAACAATGCAGACATATGGTACCATCAACACTTACTAATTGCCTTCCCAACATCTTTTTTCCTCTTTATATCACTAGGGATGGTATGATTATCTTTTGAGAGGTTTTGTCTCCCCTATTATCAGAACTGCATTTTGGTTGAAATTTTCTTTTTTTCTTGACTTTAAGAGTGAAGCCTTACTGGTTTAAACAAATTTTGTATATTTTATTCTTTTAGGCCCAGATGGTCATCTGACCCAGTAAAGGACAAAGCATAGAAAAAAATCCCATGCCTTTTCCAGGAACTACTGGACAATAGTCTCAATTTTCCTCTGTGTGGTATAATGTGTTATAGGAAAGCTAGAATTACTGTAGTCATTTTGTTACCTCATTGAAAGAATCTAGAGTTTTTGGGGGCCACAAGAGATGGGGGCCTAAAAACGTAACTAGATTTGGTTTCCTCAGAAATAACTACTATCTTTTTGCCCAGATTTGAAAAATACCCTTTATTCTTTAATTCAATTTGAGGTTTTTATTCTTTCTGTATTACCTTTGTTTTCTATAATCAAAAGAATCTAAACACAAAGACATAGATCACACTGAAGATTTTACATCTCACCTAAATAATAGGGCTTTAGAGTTCAGATATTGAAAAAAAAATTATGCTAAGAAACAAGTAAAGCAACAGGTAATTAAAGGAGGGAAATTAGAAAAATCATGGTGACAAAAATAGGCTTCAATTAATCTGGATTGTTTTTAAATAAGACACCGAGATCAATTAACCAATTGATAGTTAATAGTTAATCAAGTTGATCCCCAGTATGTAAAGATGAATATATGAGAGATCAAAGAAATAAATCAAGTCTTATAACTTTGTGAAACTGAATGGCTGCCACTTTATCGGTATTGCCTTGTTAACTTGTATATTTGTTAGGATCCCAGCTCAAGTAATGGAAGCTAAGAAGCTTTAGCTCAAGAAGGGGATTTATTTAATGGACACTGGAGTATCAAGAGAATCCAAGAACAGATAGGCAGCTCAACCTCAGGAACAAATTAGAACCAGGAACCTATTAGGATTCTACTCTATTATCTTTACATCTCTCTGCATGTCTGCTCCCCTGTCTTTCTCTAAGCAAAATACTGTCCTCTGTCTCTCTCTCCTTTGCTCCTAATTCCAAATTATTGGGAAGGAGATTGTAATTGACCTAGCTAGATCTGGAACCCAATCTGCAGTATGTAACTATGCCATAGAATGGAATCATAGTTTATGAACATATGTAGAAAATTCAAGAAGTTGGAATTATGGTACTTTCCTGAAAAGAAGGAGAGTTAATTAAACCCAATTGGTGTCCACAGTTGGTTAAGGGAACCATAGACTATAGCACGACAATATTATGGGACTCTTTTTCTGTCTCTTTCTATACTATAATATTGGATTATTGGCTTTTACATCTACTGTTACTATGCAGCTTTCTAATCTTGTTGCTGTAGCAAAAGAAATAAGAGACACATTTTGTCTGTGTTTTTGTCTGGTTTAATGCTGGGATGTAAGCTTGGAGTCACCACTCTCTGAGGTGACATGTAAGCCTCTCCAACAGAGCAATTGTTTATTGACCACAACCACAAAGGAGCACAAAGCTCATCATTCCTGGACTTGTTAGATATTAACAGACTACGTTTTTATATAACTCATTTCCCAAAAGCTTACCATTGTATTTCTCTCCATAGCATTGTCCTACTAAACAAAGATTATTGCATTAAATGTGTATTGTATACTTCAACAAAGCTTTAAAAAAATATTTTCTTCATTTTCAATTGGCCTTTCCTCTTAATTCCAAGCTCAACTTCTTGATACATTCTCCCATTTATTTATTCAGAATATTTAATGCACAATCCACACAAGATGATTTCTCCCTCCGCTTCTTTTACAAGGTGAAGTCCTAAGTACAACTTCGTTGACTTGATTTTATTCTTCATGCAACTTTGTTATTCATTCTACTGCTCAGAAATGAAAATTATACAATTTGCTGCAAAACTAAATCTTCACAAATTGTTTGTTCAAGCCCCAGCAATTCTTAATGATCAAATCATGAACACCAGGAAATAGAAGTCTAAAATAGAAATGCTGACAAGCACTTACATACAACACATTGAATGATGATGCCATAATGCACTATATTAGATGTACTCCTCAGAGCTTATTGCCAGTGGTGAGTCTATAAATTCCTGAATTAAACCTCAACTGCTCACAGCTTATACTTTTAAATTAGATTTCCTACTTTATTCTCTCCTTAGAGAAATCTGAGCTGCAGAAGCGAGTATACATAGGCAAATAAAAATAGAATAAACTAAACGACTTATATCAGGTCTAAAATGCATTTCTAGCATGTTGCTACTATAGAAAATGGTGTGTTCATTTCACAAAATATGTCTTTAGGCACATCGTATTAAATAGCTGTGGTCATTTCCAATAAATAAAGGAAAAGCAGAGGGAGGACTGACAAATAGTATCCTCTGAAATGAAAACTAGATGATTTAGAAATTTTGGATAGTATTCGTTAGTTTTAAAATATTTTGTTCAGTATTTTTAATAAACTCAGATTTTTCCTACTATTTAAGATATGAAATAATGCCAGTTTTCTCATTTTGTATTCATATTGGCAGCAAATTTCACCCATAGATATATCGGAATCAATTTGATTTTAGAATCCTTACAGATATTTTTTTTATTTATTTTTATTATACTTTTATTATACTAAGTTCTAGGGTACATGTGCACAACGTGCAGGTTTGTTACATATGTATGCATGTGCCATGTTGGTGTGCTGCACCCATTAACTCATCATTTACACTAGGTATCTCTCCTAATGTTATACCTCCACACTCCCCCCACCCCACGACAGGCCCCAGTGTGTGATGTTCCCCACCTTGTGTCCAAGTGTTCTCATTGTTCAATTCCCACCTATGAGTGAGAACATGCAGTGTTTAGTTTTCTGTCCTTGCTGTAGTCTGCTCAGAATGATGGTTTCCAGCTTCATCCTTGTCCCTACAAAAGACATGAACTCATTTTTTATGGCTGCATAGTATTGCATGGTGTATATGTGCCACATTTTCTTAATCCAGTCTATCACTGATGGACATTTGGGTTGGTTCTAAGTCTTTGCTATTGTGAATAGTGCCGCAATAAACATACGTGTGCATGTGTCTTTATAGCAGCATGATTTATAATCCTTTGGGTGTATACCCAGTAATGGGATGGCTGGGTCAAATGGTATTTCTTGTTCTAGATCCTTGAGGAATTGCCACACTGCCTTCCACAATGGTTGAACTAGTTTACAATCCCACCAACAGTGTAAAAGAGTTCCTATTTCTCCACATCCTCTCCAGTACCTGTTGCTTCCTGACTTTTTATTGATTGCCATTCTAACTGGTGTGAGATGGTATCTCACTGTGATTTTGATTTGCATTTCTCTGATGGCCAGTGATGATGAGCATTTTTTCATATGTCTGTTGGCATTTTTTATTGCTTCTGTTTGATTCTTCTCTCTTTTCTTCTTTATTAGTCTTGCTAGCAGTCTATCAATTTTGTTGATCTTTTCAAAAAACCAGCTCCTGGATTCATTGATTTTTTGAAGTGTTTTTTGTGTCTCTATTTCCTTCAGTTCTCTCTGATCTTAGTTATTTCTTGCCTTCTGCTAGCTTTTGAAAGTGTTTGCTCTTGCTTCTCTAGTTCTTTTAACTGTGATGTTAGGGTGTCAATTTGAGATCTTTCCTGCTTTCTCTTGTGGGCATTTAGTGCTATAAATTTCCCTCTACACACTGCTTTAAATGTGTCCCATAGATTCTGGTATGTTGTGTCTTTGTTCTCATTGGTTTCAAAGAACATCTTTATTTCTGCCTTCATTTTGTTATGTTTTGTTCAGTTTCCATGTAGTTGTGCGGTTTTGAGTGAGTTTCTTAATCCTGAGTTCTAATTTGATTGCACTGTGGTCTGAGAGACTGTTTGTTATATTACAGATATTTCCTAAGACAGAGTCATTTGGAGAATGTGACTTTTATTTAGCTAGTCTTGACACATTTATAAATAACATTTAGTTAAATGAAGACGGTTAGTTCACATTATTGCTCAGGGATTCTGAATGTGAGGAGTGGAGTATATGAAGAGCATGAAAAAGGTTCTTCCTAGAATCTGTAAGTAAGATTTATTAAGTTTTTGATGTTCAAATATTTTATAAATTCAACTGGAATTTCATCTTGAAACTGTACTACAAACTTTAGAAAGTCAAGAATGAACTGCATGGAAAACCATCATTACATTATTCCTGTAAGTCTCTCAGAGAAACATACTTTTTTACTCATTTTTATTTGTGATCTTAAGCAAGTTGTCAATAATCAAAACAAACATTCATGTTGAACACATCAAGATGCACACATAAAAGCCAGGCACAGTGGCTCATGGCTGTAATTCCAGCACTTTGGGAGGCTGAGGTGGCGGGTGGATCGCCTGAGGTCAGGAGTTCAAGACCAGCCTGGCCAACATGGTGAAACCCCGTCCCTACTAAAAACACAAAAAATTTTCCAGGTGTGGCAGCAGGCGCCTGTAATCCCAGCTATTCAAGAGGCTGAGGGAGGAGAATCGCTTGAACCTGGGAGGTGGAGGTTGCAGTGAGACAAGATCACGTCATTGCACTCCAGCCTGGGCAACAAGAGCGAAACTCCATCTCAAAAAAAAAAAAAAAAAAAAAAACTTGAATATTTAGAGAAAAGAATTTATTTTATGGTCTAAATATTTTAGAAAAATACAAACAGAACTTATTTGTTTAAATCATGTCAGCTTTTTCCACAGTAATAAAATAGAAAATGTATTTTAACTTGTTTCATTTGCTTTCAAGTAATAGGCTTTTAAAAGTCTTTTAAATAAAAAGACTTTCAATTAAAAACTCAACATGAAATGGGAATGAACCAAATTGAATAAGAAATCACCAAATCAGATAACAATCTGGTTTCCTTAAATTGACTTTTTTATCAGGCACTTAGATGCTAAAATATTTTTATTAAATATGTTTTGGCATTTTTTTAATTGTAATAATACTTATGTAGGAGCGGATGCCCAAATAGAAATGTAATCTTCAGAGACAACATTCCCAGTTAGAATGCATCTCTGAGATCTAAAGTTTTTGTGCAAACTTAAAACCTATGCAGCCTTAAAGCCAAAACAACATCATCAAGAGTATCCTCTGGAGAACACATGACAGGGTTAAGGAAGATGCCTCTTTCTTGAATTATTCACTCATTTAATTTAATGGAAAGTTTTAGAGACAGTATTAGATGTGGAGTCATTGAGAAGTCACCCATGTGTAGAATAGTTAGTTCAACTGCTGACAGTCTTTCCAAATTTCCTTTTGCAATTTAAGCCTTGTCTTCCTTGTTGAAGATAATGTGATTAGGCTAGATCCTTAAATAGAGAGGTAAATTAAAACATTATCACCCAAATTCATCTGTTTGTCATTTCCATTTCTTAGTGAAGCTTAAAATATACAGCATAGTGTTAAACTATATCACCTGTCCCTTCTTTTATATATTTTTGTTAGGACAATGGATTAGAATCTATGCTTGTAAGTTTTTGACTAATAGACATTTACTAATTTAACTATAAAACCAGTTGCAGGAAATCTCTGGAATTTTACCTGGGTGAAATGCCTCCCATAGCCAGAAATTGCACAGTCTCCTAAAGTTAAAAGCTGAAAACCAATGGGGTATCCTGTTCCTACTTTTATTTTCCTGATAGAAGGAAAGAAGGTCTGAACTAAAGGATGCACTTTCATCTCTACTATCCTTTTAGAAAGCTGCTTTAATGAACCTTTTATCCTTTCTCTGTAAATGTAAAAGTGCCAGTAATATCCTCAAAATGAAAGGGAAAAAAATCCTAGTATACAGACATTCCTTAGATGCAGGCTCAGGCCTCTTCAGCTTTCTTTTCATATTTTCTTCCTAATCCAACCTATCTATCCCTCTAATTCAGAGGTTAGCTTTTTTTTTTTTTTGTTTTTCTTGTAAATGGTCAGGAAACAAATTTTACAGGTTTCATGAACCACATGGTGTCTGTTACAACTATGAAATCTACCACTGTAACATGACAACAACCATGAACAATACTTAAATAAATGAGAGGAGCTATGTTTCAACAGAACATCATTTACAAAAAAATGGACGGCAGGCTCTTACAACTGGCTACAAGAGAACTTGGCTAAATATCACTAACGTGAATGTTCGCAAATTTTTCTTCCTGCTTCCCATTGAGAGACCTCTTGCATCACACAATTTTTGCTTTTTTTGTTTTTAATAAATCTTAAAGTGGCTTCTCCTTAGATTGTTAAAGGTGAAGTGATTTTATAATAAAAAATAAAGAGGATAATATGATGAGAAATACATCTCAAGGTCGGAGGATACATTTTTCAGAGCTTGAGAAGAGTGGAAGCTGATAGAAAGCAATACTATGGTGCAGGTGTGTGACTGCAAAATAGTGAACATGTTACATAATAGACTTTTAGTACCTACTCAGAGATAAAACAGCCTACACATCACCTTGACCATATGATATAACTTGCATTAGTATGCTTTCAGGTGTTAAAACTCAGGGAGAAGTTTATGAGAATGTTTTCCTGGCAATGCTTATACTGTGTGACCTACTCATAGAAATATCTTTTTTGGATATGGGACCCTGGTTTTCTTCTTTAACTGCCATTATATCTTTTCTGTCAAATCAACCATATTCTGTGAAGATCTTTGGAGTTGTGCTTTTGTCCTTTAATATAAATTATTTTGAAATTACTTTTGTTTGAATGGACAATTTCTATAGACCAACGAAGACACCACTGTAGGTTAAACACAAGGGTATCATGAGTTCTGGACAAGATTGTGAAGTGAAGGGAGTAAATGAAAGGAATTTGAACTTCATTCTGCATACGAGAGGCCATTTAGTGTGGTGATAAAAGCATGTGATTTGGGGTTAGAGATATCTATGTTCAAATAAATCTCTGCATTTTCTATCTACAGGATTGGTCAAGCTGCTTAGGGTCTCTATAAAAGAGAATAATGATAATTAAGTCAGGTAGGTCTAAAGAGGTTAGGCAATTTTCATAAAGGAACTAAATGACAGAGATTGGATTTGAACACTGCCTCCCACTCCAGGCCACATCTTCATTAAGAAATCCCTGCCTCACTGCCTCATGATTTATAATCCTTTGGGTATAAATCATGCTGCTATAAAGACACATGCACATGTATGTTTATTGTGGCACTATTCACAATAGCAAAGACTTGGAACCAAGCCAAATGTCCTACAATGATAGACTGGATTAAGAAAATGTGGCATATGTACACCATGGAATACTATGCAGCCATAAAGAAGGATGAGTTCATGTCCTTTGTAGGGACATGGATGAAGCTGGAAACCATCATTCTCAGCAAACTATTGCAAGGACAAAAAACCAAACACTGCATGTTCTCACTCATAGGTGGGAATTGAACAATGAGAACACATGGACACAGGAAGGGGAACATCACACACTGGGGCCTGTTGTGGAGTGGGGGAAGGGGGGAGGGATAGCATTAGGAGATATACCTAATGTTAAATGACGAGTTAATGGGTGCAGCACACCAATATGGCACATGTATACATATGTAACCAACATGCATGCTGTGCACATGTACCCTAAAACTTAAAGTATAATAAAAACAAAAACAAAACCAGAAAAACAACAACAAACTCCCTAAAAAAAAAAAAAAAGAAAAAAGAAATCCCTGCCTCTTTATATGTAACACATCATTTCTGTATCTTTATTCCCAAGGAGGGGTTTTCCTCCTCCTATTCCAACATTATTTCATCTTTGGTAAGTTTGCTCATCAGTCAGAATTACTACTTGAAAATATAAGAAGCCACACCCTGGTTAATGTAATATGAAAAAGAAATTATTGAAAAGATGGCAGTATGTCACAGAATCAATGAGAAGGCTAAAGAAACAGACTACAAAAACTGGCAAGAGTTGAAACAGACTAGGGAACAAGAACTGCAGCCAAAACCATTCCAAAGGAATAGTAGGTAGGCCACATGCCGCCCCTGTTGACACCATCATTGTGACTGCTATGGAACGTGGATGTACCGCCATCACAAATAGCACAGCACCAGAGGCTGCCTCCACTGTTCCTTCCAGAATGAATTATAAGATCTTTAGTTTTTTCTGGCATCACTTACCTCATATCTAAAGCCCTGAACAGGAGTATCCAAGCATTTTAGCTAATGCTCATGCATCCTAGGAGCTGGGAGAGGGAATATTGGTCGGGGTCGTACTTCCTAGCTGTGCTGGAACTCCTCAATTAGGCAGGGTGTCTAGGCAGTAAACATGATAAACAGTCACTTTAGTGGCATGTTCTCCACTAAAGCGTAGTCTCCCTGACAGTAGGTACCAGAGATATCCTGTGGAGTCCTCATTTTCCTGTAATTAACTCAGAAGCACTTCCCTTTCCTATTTACATCTATTTTTTTTCTTCTCCATCTTGGGGTGTCTCTCTCCTCCACAGATTATCTTGGAAGGGCATAGATATGTCCTTCCTAGCCACCAAATCATTACTAATTCCTTTATTTTTTAGTGTTTCAAGATCTTAAATCTGAAAAAAATAAAAACTAACAAGATTTAAGAAATAGGGGATTTGAAATGTATCAAGGAGTCTTATAAAGTTCTTTTGGGTATAATTTCTAATCTAAATGCCTAATTTTCTTACTAGATTATATGCAGAAGTCTTGTTACATGAGGCAGAAAAGCAATCAGATGAATTGCGCTTTAACGCAGGATATATTTACACTTTGAAATCTACTATAAACTCCAGCCCTTGTTAGTAGCAATTGACCAATCCTTTTTGTGGTCTTTCTACTATCTCCTGGAGTGTAAGCCCTTCTCCATCTGCTGCTGTTGCTACAATTTTAGGTTGTGGCTGAGAGATCCATATAAATTTTCACCAATAGGAGAGATATGGTCAATTCAGGGTAACCCCCGCTCTAGTCTAGCAGTTTGCTGTTCCAAATTATAAGCATTCAGTAAATATTTCATTTGAATTGAAGCAAAATGATCATAGTCCCCCTCCCACCACCATGACGGAACTTCCAGATTATTTACATGTGAGCCTTAGAAAACAGCTTTATTCAAAGAGTAATGATTGACTCTGGTGAGTGAGAAAAACTCCTCTACTTGTTAGATTTACAGTGGTACCATACATTTTGGTTAGAGAAATGGTTACATACATGTCTGCTTTATTTAAATCTAAAATATAATTAAATAAATATTATTCTCTTTAGTTAATAATTGTGTTCCATTTGTACAACTTGACTGAATGCCTTAAGAAAATGTTTCTCAGCAGCCTGGATTATAATTATATGACAAATAGGAGTTCCCCTCTCTCCCCCAAACTCAAATCACTAGGATAAAACATATTTACAAGTGCTTTTTTTCTCATAGTTTTCATTGTGTTATTCTTTATCATACTTTCAGTTGAAGCAGATACAGTGCCATCTTGAAGTTTAAAAAACAAGCTAAAGACACATTTAACTGAAATCAATAGAGAAAAAATGAAAAGTGAGAAAAATAGGTCAACCATGCTGTTTTATAATTATACTGTGGATTTTCCTTCCAATAAATTACTCTAGCAATACATCTAGCAAAAATTTAAATTATCCAGGGAGGATTTTACAGATGATCAGTGATGACACTAATATATACCTTGGCTGAAATGCAGCATGCTAAAACAGGAACCCAGTTCTCAAAGGTTAAAAATCTAATCAATAACTTGCTGAAAGAAAATTTATTAGAGAGGATCTGCAACAATTTTATGGAGAATAAAAGAGGCAAATATTAAACAAGGCAGGTCAAATTAATGTTTGATTTCTGATCTGTGAAAGCATTAAACTGGTATTAGTGAAACTCTATACCATTGTCTAAATGGTTGCTTTTGTTTTCCAAATTAACTCAACCTAGAACAACACAGCGGTTAGGTAGTAATCTGATGTATATCAGTCGCATATACAATAATTAGGAAAATTCAATTCCCAAAGTCAAAATTAGGCAGTTTTGGCTTTTGTCCACTCAGAGCAACCCATTGTAACTCTCTCAAGGGGAAAATTAATCTTAGAAATAAGTATAACAGAATTCCCATGGTAAATATTCCTTATTTTCTGATTCTCAGGGCACAGTTCTCATTCATGTTCACATACCTAGAATTTTAAAACTTCAACCTTTGACAGAATGTAAGGCATAAATCCATGTATAGAAAACCATGCAAATCTGATTATTATCTATCTCTCATATATTTGCCAATTAAAGGAAGAGTAGACAGACCGGGTGCATTCATACATATTTTTTTCCCATCCAAATTCATATATTCTGAAAGGTTACAAAATAACTTCCTCAGGGCACATTTTATTGAATCATACATATATATATCAAATTTTATTTTTCTAGTACGACATTAATTTAAAATGTTAAAATGTCTATTTAGTAATCCTTCTGAAATTTTTCTTACAATAACTAGTTAATAGTAACACCAAGACCAAAAGCATTTTATCAAAGAGAAGTCAAATTATTATTGTTACTCATCTATAGTTGTGTTTTTCGTTGCATTCTAATTCTTCAATACTTTATAATTTTATACTGTTATAATATACCTACTCTTTCTCTTGACCAGAATATTGGATTTGTATAAACTCCATTCCCTTAACTTCACAGACAGCAATGTGTTTGATTTTACAACATTCTGCCTAATATAGCCATATAAAGTGTTGAATCTCCACGCTCAGTTTTGTGTCTCACAGGTTGATGCTACACTTGCCTCATTGATGAGAAAAAAAAAAAAAAAAAAAAAACAAATAAAATGCAGGCTCCATAGCAGCTGGAGCTTGGGGTACTCATTTTCAGTTGAGAGCTGATAATCAGGCTGCATCCGTTCAAGCACATAACTAAAGGTAAGACAGTTCCATCACAGACAAAACTACTCTGAAGTAATTTCATTCCTAATTATGGGTCATGATAGAATATGTTTGTACCTAATCTATAATGGAATGTAACCTCCTGGGAAATAAAGGAACCAAGATATTAAAATCACATTTTTAATTTAGAAGTTAGGGATAACTCCTGTTTGGAAATGTTTTATAAATATGAAAAAGAGTAATTTGTGAAAAGACAAAAGTCTACAAAAGGAAAGAAACATTTTTCCCAAGATTCTGGCTGGGATAGAGGGGTTGTATATACTGATATACCATGTAGCTGTGTATATGGTTATAGAGATATATATCAAAGAAAGAGGCATGGACAAAGGCAGAAATTGAGGCCAAGATGGAGAAGTTGAAACTTGTATTCAAAGATATCTGAGAACATTCTTACACTCTGTCCTAAATTCTCTTAGTTAGCTTTCAAATGAAGATAATTACTTTGAAATCATCATTAAATTTATCAGTTCACCAAACTAATGAATTTAAATGCCATGAATTAATAAATTCATTGTTTCAAAACTGTTGAAGTTATTCCATGGAAAAAAACTTACATACTTAGGTTAAAATAGGCTCAGTCTATTTATCACTGCATCAGTTTGTAGTGTAACAAACTCAAGTGGACTAAATTTATACATATTTAATGTTTTGGATGCTGAATAGGACTATCAATGTTCTAGTAACCTAGAAATTTCCCTAGATTCATAAAACATTCCTTTCTTTTCATGTGCATGTAATATAATCCCACATAAACCAAATAAGTAGAATTACAAGTGCATAAAATTGTCTCTAGTCTGAAACACACAATGGCTACCTTTTAAACCCAGTTACAGAATCAAGAGTGGTTGAAATTACGTTAGGGAGGGTCTGACTACAGGGCCCTCCATTCAGATACTAGACACAATGTTGGCTCTGTTTCTTAAAAAATGAATTTGCAATTTTACTTCTTATTCAATGGTCTAATCCACGGAGTGCATTCAAAATTTCCTCACATTTATTTAATTCAGGTTCCTGTGTTCTCTAAAGTGGCATATAATTGTAGTTATTAGAGAAATGCCACCATTACAGAATGTGCCCAACTGAAAAGTTTGCACATCAGTACCACTTAGAGTTTGAAATATCTACTGAATTCATTTGTGAGGGTTTCTAGAATGTATCAATATGCTTGCATCAAAATGTAATTCAGTGATGTTCAAACGATTACAATGCTTAATAGGGTTGTATCTCTAAAGAAATTTTTTGTTGCCTGATTTGAAAAACTCATTGCAATATTTCTCAAATTCTTGAGATTCAAAGAAACATATATTATTGTGAGAGATTCAACAAAAAAAATCAATGTGGAAATATATTTTTCAAACCTTCTGAACTTATTTTTCTTCTTGGAGAATCAAAATACACATTCGAGTAATAAAGACTCTGAGGAATCGTGATCAAAAGAAAGTTGTTTATAGTTGTTAACATTTGTTTAATGCAGCATTTCTTAAAAGCATGTTTGACTATAGAGCCAAGGCAAGACTTTTAGCCTCAAATATTTTCACATGCAATAACCTATTTATCTGAAGAACACTTTGAAAATGCTTGCTTATTGAAACATACAGTTTTTGCTGCACACAAGGTAATAACAATTACTTAATTGCAACTCCTTAATGCTTAAATTTAATCTCACATCTTGTAATCTCAGACACAAGTTTGTAACCTGGGTCCATGGGCTGTATGGAGTTAGTAAGCTCTTGAAAACTGTATGTAAAACGTGGGTATATTCATATTTCTCTAGGAGAGAGTAAACAACCTTCATCTGATTATAAAAAGTCCATGACTGAAATATTAGGTGTCCTTAATCTAGTAAATGCTAAACATCTATTTCAAAAGTAAGAATTTTTAAAATGCATTAATAAATATTTTAAGTGCTTATGAGTGGAAACAAAAGTGTATATAGTCAAGTCCATCCTGAATAGGTGATATTATGAACAGAAAGTAAGTTTCACATCAATCATACACATGCATTGTGGAAAACAGCAGCAATTGCACCTGTTTCTCAGCTTCCGATATCACCTCAGTTTATGCTTCAAAATAACTCTGACATCTTCACTGAATCACTCTAGTTTTCCTACTGTGACTAATTCTGTTCCACCATGTTACACCAAAAAAGTGTATTTTCTATGTTTATCACGGTAGTGTTCAAGGAATTGCCTTTTTCCAGAATTGAGTTGAGGAGGATGACTCTTGCCAATTTATAAATTAATTGTTCATGAAGAGGTCAATGAAAAAAGGTAAGTTTTTATTGTGGCAAAAAAAAACTGAGTAGCTCCAGTGTTTTATTCTCATAAAAATTAATACAAAGTTTAAGTGATTGAAGAAAATAAGATAATAATCTGAAAATGAAAACTAGGATCCCTACAGGGTTCTCCATCTTACATAGTTTAAAGAAATCCTATTCAAATAGCAGACAGAAAGTTTTATAAAATTTATTGGTTCCTTTTTTATAACTTGGTAGCAAAAGCCAGGATTTTTTTTTATCATGTCTTCATTTTCTTTGGCTAGACTGTAAAAGGAGAAATGTCAGTTAATAGCACCCACTTTTTATTTTATAAAATAAATATACATTTATTGTTTTAAGTATGCAATTATTATTTTATATAGGTTGGGAGAAAGTCATTTGTTAAAATCCAGATGAGATGTTTAAGAGGCATATTTAGTTATTTGATACTTACTTGTTTTGAAATTCAAGTTCCTCCCCCCTTGGTCAGAAAGTAGCCAAGTGCCTTTGGGGGTATAACAATTAAGTTGTTCTGATTGAATTGCAACAAACTGCTATTTTTTTGAAAATAAGATGACATTCTTTTAGAATTTAACAAACATACAAATGGGGAAAGGGATTAAAAATGTTTAGATTAACCGAGCATGGTAGCAAGCACCTGTAGTCCCAGCTACTTGGGAGGTTGAGGTGGGAGAATCACCAAAGCTTGGGAAGTTGAGGCTGCAGTGAGCAGTGATCACTCCACTGCACTCCAGCCTGGGTGACAAAGTGAGACCCTGTCTCAAAACAACAACAACAACAAAAAGGTTACATGACTACTAAGGAGATTATAAGTGTTTGTTCTAGAAAGAATGAAAAAAGCCTATCTTATCTAGACCCCAAATAATTAATGGGTGTAGAGTAATAATAAATAATAAATATGTACATAGTAAAATATATGTTTTCTTAAATAAAGTATTTTCGATGCCCAGAACATTAAGATTTTTTTTTTTTTTGAGACAGAGTCTCACTCTGTCGCTCAGGCTGGAGTGCAGTGGTGCAATCTTGGCTCACTGCAACCTCCATCTCTTGGAGCAATTCTCCTGCCTCAGCCTCCTGAGTAGCTGGGATTACAGGCACATGCCACCACGCCCGGCTAATTTTTGTATTTGTAGTAGAGACGGGGTTTCACCATGTTGGTCAGGCTAGTCTCAAACTCCTGACCTCGTGATCCACCCGCCTTGGCCTCCCGAAGTGCTGGGATTACAGGCATGAGCCACCGCGCCTGGCCAACATTAAGATCTTATTACAGCATGGCTTATACACACGTAAACATACATACACACACAAACAACAGTTTTGGTTTTTATTTAATCCAAATGTAGTGTTTTACCCACTGAAATTCAGATACGGTGACATTCTAAATGCTAATAACTACGAATTCATAACCCAATAAAAACTGCAAACAATACTCAAAGTTTTTCTACTGAGAATTTGGTGTGCCGTTAATGAGACTCTAATTCTTATTTATTTTGGCAGTTCCTTCTTGACGTTACTAAGACATTTTTAAACAGTCAAAGCACGTGATACATAACACAACATGTCCATTTATCCTACAATGTCATTAGAAGAGAATCTGAGACTGATAAACTTAATGACAATTAAGGTCAATTGGGCATTAAGGGATAAATATAGATAGTTTAGTCAAATGAATCTAGAAATTCTGAGGTTGAGATTGAAGTTTAACGTGCAGTAAGTAAACCTACAAGAGTTTACGTGTACTAATAATGCTTTTCACACCACAAACTCTGGATGTCAGTGCTCAGATTTCAAATGTGAAAGGAACTAGGAAATTGTCAAAGAATAAGAACAAGTATAAGTTGGTTTATTAGAATTTGTTAATGTTATTTTATAAAATGCAAATACATTTCTCAAATCACAACATATAAAATACTGTCTACACTAAGTATTTAAAATACATAAAGTAGGCTATTTTAAAACCCTAATTGATTTTTTTATTTTAATACTTTTATCCTTCCCATTGGGATAAGATTCATGAGTGGACAGAGATATTAGATGCCTACAGGAAATTGGAGTATCTGTTATATAGGTAAAAGGCGTAGATGTTAGTTGATGAGGAAAAATGAAACGGAGAGTGAGAACATTACGGATAAAAAGAAGTTAAAACTGAAATATTTTGTATTTATTTGACCAGACACAAGTGGGAGTTAAAATTGAGTATTGTTAATGTTGAGGAAAAACTGAAACTGTTCACTTAATTATTCCCAAATGGTTTTCCTCCTGTAATATGCTAATAATGCTATTATAATAATATATTTTAAAAGACAGAAATAAAGTAAGCATTAGTTGAAAGCTAAGCCTTCTTGTGTTCTCACAGCTTCACCTTGGAGTAAGTCTGGGGAGACATTTTGAAGGAGGTTGTTCCATTCTAAAAGACAGGTAAGGGTCCAGTTTCATTATTCTGCATATGGCTAGCCAGTTATCCCAGCATAATTTATTGAATGGGGTGTGTCCCTTCCCTATTGCACGTTTTTGTTGTCCTTGTCAAAGATTAGATTGTTGTAGGTGTGCGGCTTTATTTCTGAGTTTTCCATGCTATCCCATAGGTCTCTTTCACCATATGCAAAAATTTACTCAAGATGGATTAAACATTTAAATGTAAGACCTGAAACTATTAACATAAAAATCCTAGAAGAAAACCTAGGAAATACCTTTCTCAACATCACACTTGGCAAAGAATTTTTGACTAAGTCTCCAAAAGCAATTGCAACAAAAACAAAAATTGACAAGTGGGACCTAATTAAACTAAAGAGCTTCTGCACAGCAAAAGAAACTATCAACAGAGTAAACAGACAACCTACAAAATGGGAGAAAATACTTGCAAACTATCCATCTGACAAATGTCTAATATCCAGAATCTATAAGGAACTTAAACAATTGAAAAAGTGGAAAATAAGTAACTCCATTAAAAATGGGGCAAAGAACATAAACAGACATTTCTTTAAAGAAGACATACACGTGGCCAACAAACATGAAAAAGTGCTCCAAATCACTAAACACCAGAGAAATGCAAACTAAAACCACAGTGAGACACCATCTAACACTAGTCAGAATGGCTATTATTAAAAAGTCAAAAAACATCAGATGCTGGCAAGGTGCAGAGAAAAGGAAATGCTTACACACTGTTGGTTGGGAATGTAAATTGGTTTAGCCACTGTTGAAAGCAGTTTGGAAATTTCTCAAAGAACTTAAAATAGAGCTACTATTCAACTCAGCAATCCCAATACTGGGCACATACCCAAATGAAAATAGATCATTATACCAAAAAGACACATGCACTCATGTTTATCACACCACTATTCACAATAACAAAGACATGAAATCAACCTAGGTGCTTACCAGTGGTGGATTGAATTTAAAAAAAAAAGGTACATATATACCACGGAATACTGCACAGCTGTAAAATAAATAAACAAATAAAAACATGTCCTTTGCAGCATTGTGGATGCAGCTGGAAGCCATAATCCTAACCAAATTAATGCAAGAGCTGAAAACCAAATACTGCATGTTCTTATTTATAAGTAAGAGCTAAACATTGAGCACACGTGGACATACTCATGGGAACAACAGACACTGCAGGCTACTAGAGAGGGGAGGGGAGAGGTAGCATGATTGAAAAACTATTTATTGGGTACTATGCTCACCACTTGGGTGATGGGATCTGTACCCCAAACTTTAGCATTATACAATATACCCATATAACAAACTTGCACAGGTACTCCCTCTATCTAGAATAAAAGTTGTAATTTTAATAAATAAATAAAAATATTTAAAATGGCTAAAGACAGACGGTAAGAAATTTAAATGGAAGTTGAAAGAATTGACTCAAGTTTTCAAATTCAAAAGAACTTTTGGGGTACCATAGACATGTCATCGCTCCTGCTAAATGGTCATGTCAAGGTAGCTAATAAAAAAGATGTTTTCTGGCTTATTCTATCCACTTTCTGGAAGAAAATTCCAAGACAGATGGCTGAGGCTCATTCTCTTGATTCTTGTATAAACAGTATTAGGGCGGAAGAAATTGTACTAGCCTTCTTTTAAGTTGTTTTCTGGCTATGACAGAGTTGGTTCCACCCAGAGTGGTGAGTGGCAGTCCAACTGGGAGTCTGCAAGGGAACCCCAGTCATCTCTAAGAGAGTGTTTAAATAGGTATAAACAGTCATTATTGGTCCAATCAATATCAATTTAGGAGTATGGTATTATCACTAAACAAGGGAGATGGTGGACAAAATTAAATAGCTTCCTAGATCCTTCTAAAAATCAATTTCACATTGTGATTTTATTATTATATTCAAAGTATAGCAACTTCCCAGAATATTAGATGCAGCTGCAACAAAATGTTCCTATAGAAACACATTGTAAAGTATAAACAGGCAAAGATCTTTGGTACTCATGTCACTAAGCACTTTTTCCTTTCATTTTATAATTATAATTATAATATATTTTATGTACAAAGAATTGATTACAAATGGTAGATATAATTTAAGAACCTAAATTGTTGTATTTAGCTGTGATATCCTTTTGATCTGGAGATAATGTAACAGAGGAAAATTAATGTGGAGAGCAAGATAGAGTGTGTTCAATTTTGAGATCTGCTATTTCAATGGTGTTAAATGGCTGAGAGCATTTTGTGCAGACTTAATAGCTAAGCATTTATTATGGGATATTGATTAGTAATGGCAGAAATCATACATTTATTTTCCTGTTGTGACAATCTGAAAACCACCAGCACTCTATGGCTTGGACTGCATAAAAGACTTGACAACTTTCAAGAGATTCATGTACTAAAACACTCTTGTGATTTTTTTCAATTATCTAAATTATGTAAAAAAAACTTAGCATCCTGTTTCGTTTGCCCTTGAATTATTCAGACAATTATGATCATTTATAATTGTCTTTGAGGCCTTATTTATTCTTATTTTACAATTACATACATATAAAGTTACTCAGTGGTATACAAGAACTAATCTTTTGCCCTTTGCCTAATAAAGAGGGTTGGAAAGAGCAGTCATATTGAATATGTCCAGTAGTCAAAATCAGATGCCTCTCAAGATCGTCACCAATATTCAGAAATAATCGTTTTCTGTTTCACATCCTCCCTGAAGCTCATTAGGCTAGGTCAGCAAGGCCATGGGTTTCATTCCCAACACTACCAACCACGGCAATATATGCCTAACTACATATGGTTATTCTCACAGATTGTTTACTATAACTTAAATAAATAACAAGAAATTGTATGAAACTGGGATTTCAAAGTGAAAACATTTCCTCCTAATACTTACACAGAAATAAAATGCTCACTAAATATCTATGACTGATTTGTTGTTATTGGGGGTGGTACTGAATTTATTGAAATATGGAACTTTGATTCTAAGCCTATCACAAACCTAAATATTATCCATTCTAGATGCACCATTTATTTTATCTTATGAACAGTTCCTTGGTCATCACAGTTGAAAATTTACAGCAAAGTGTACATCTAACATCTCAAAACCAGCAATCTTATTTTAAATATTCTGATTATGCACAAATTATTTCATATCACCCTGCTAGTATTTATAAAATTGAATATCCTGAGTAAAAATTTACATGATATATTAGAGGAACATTCAATATATTTAAAATAAATAAGTAATTTCAGCTCCTTCTGAGAAACTTTATCCATGGTACAAGGAGAAAAATAATTGTACAATTCTATTTAGCTAGGGTAACCAAAGAGACCTGAGAAACACAGTCAATATGGAATTACTAAATATTTCGTGAGACCCCAGGGAATTATATTTTCACAAGAACCTAATAGAGCTTCTAAAAAATAGTGAATGGAAAAGTTATCATTGAGAGTTTGATTCTGGGACTGAGACTTGAAGAAGAAAGGAAATCCAATTTAGCAGGGCATCCCTAAATGGCCAAGAAAAACCCTTCTTCCTCACATCCAGGTTAGACAGAATCAATGTCATGTCATGTTATAGCACTAGACAGTTATTAGTGGATGGATACAGCCACAGCTTAGGAAATATTAGTCCCCGCTTACACTGCACTTAACGGCAATCTCTGATTATAGATTTCCAAGGTACACATATATTTTCTTCAGGCCAGCTACTCTACTCAGAAGCCCTCAACTAAGTCTGTCAATTTTGGGCATACATTACTTTCCTTGCTCTAGAATCCTTCATTCTAAACTTCTCAGATAATGGTACCATGCCTTCCATTAATATCAAACTCAATGAAGTCAAAACTTCTACTTTAGGCTATAATCTTGTAGCTAAGAGATTGACCTCTCCATCATGTGGAAGTTGAAGAGCTTAAGAGATGCCCCTCAAGCATACAGAGTAAGTGGGCATGATGGTTAATTTTATGAGTCAATTTGACTGGACTATGAGGTGCCCAGATATTTTGTGACTGTAGGAGTGTTTCTGGTTTACACTAACACTGGTAGACTGAGTAAAGCAGATTGTCCTCATTGTGGGTGCACCTTATCAAGTACATTGGAAACCTGAATAAAACAAAAAGGTGGAATAAGGGAGAATTCTCTCTCTCTCTCTCTCTCTCTCTCTCTCTCTAAGCCAGGACATCAGTCTTCTCCTGCCTTCTGCTTGGACATGGACTGGAGCTTACACCATCATCTTCCCTGGTTCTCAGTCCTTCAGACTCAGACTAAAACTATAACTTTGGCTCTCCTGAATCTCCAGCTTCCTGACTTCAGATCATGGGACAAGAGCTCTTGATTCTGTCTATCTGAAGAAATCAGACTAACATACTAGGGGAGAGGCAGGAGGAGAGAGACACTCTGGCACACAGTGTTTTGGCACAAATGGCTGTTCTTTAGAAAAATAAAAATGTGAACATTCTCTGAGAAAATCCTGCAAATTGGTTAACCACAAAGGTATTTATAACCTTTCTCCCTTACATCCTTCTACAGAGCATGGAATATTAAAACACCCATCTGCTTATAACTGAGATTGGCCTGGGCTCTACCCCTACACAAGAAGATGTAATTAGAGTTTTCAGTAGACAGCTTTGGCTAGCTATTGATAGACTATGCATCTTTGGTCCTTTCCCCTTTTCAGCTTTCTTTATACTTGAAAATACAGTACTATGTGCTTCCTTACCCTAAGCATGAGAACTATCCACTTAGGACAGGGGAGCAGAAAGGTCGAATGTACATAGGGGCTTGATGACATTATAGAGCCACAACAAAGCATTGCACTTACAGGTCTTGCTGGAAGAAATATATAAATTCCTGAGTTACGCCAGCTACTATTAATTAGATTTTCTGTCACTCACAACCAAAAACATTGCTAAGTGATACCACTCCTTATAAATGCGGTCATTTCTGTAATTTAACACCTAGTACATCTAATTTTACTTTGATAACAATTGTTAAAATTATTAATGTTACCAAAAATAAAATAAAATATGATTTAGCATACTTAACCTTCCGCAAAGGCATCTAAACCATGTGATAATTTCACAGAAAAATCAATTTCTGCAATAATCAAATCTATTCAGCTGCCCTAATACAGTTAAGAAACTCAAAGAATAGATATTGATAGACCAATTGTTGCTTATTGATGTGAAAGTACAAAACAGCTGAACAACACAGTAAAAGCATATAGTTTAATGGTATAAAGAACGGTTTGTTGATTTATTCAGAGAACACAAGAAGAGTCAGGTACCAATGCAAAAAGATTACCAAATAATAAAATTGTAAATAGAGGCCCATTTTACAGAATATAAAAATTATTTGTCAATAAGAGGATCCTACAATCAAAGATATTGTGGTAGCTAGACAAAATATTCATGAAGATCAAACCCCAAGCTGTGTCAAACAAAGTAGTCTTTTTAAAAAGCTGGAATTAAAGTAGAATTTTGAGAAAGTATCTAGGGATATGGATATTATTACTTTGTTTCTATCTAAGAGGCAATTTGGAAAAAACCTATTCATGAGTTTAGTGTCCTTTGTATTTGGTATAATTTATTTATAGGTAATAATAGTTGGTTCTAAAATGTTGAAAGGTATTTCCTCCACACTTTGGTTTAGGAAATGCATACTAAATTTTTCCAAACCATTTTTGCTCAAGTAGTCTTTTTGTACAAGGATAATTCAAAGGGAAAAATATCATCCTCTCTTCAAGGGTTCTTCCATTTCGGATTGATGAGAATCAATTAAATGATATTTTCTTCCATATATACAGAATGTTATTGTTTTTATTTAGCCAGGTGGAGGACTGTTCCTTATTTGCCTCCATTGCCAATCTTAAAAGATCTGGTTTTTCTAAGTTCACTCTAATAAGTACTAGACACAGAAAAGTTAGTTAAAACAAAAATATTTATTTCCATAATAAGTATCCATATTCTGGGATTTATTAGTACAATTCTCTCTATTATGTGTGTGGGAGGAGGGGAGGAAGACTGGGAGCATAAGCATGACAGCTACGAAAACAAACAGCAAATTCCTGAACCGGTATCCTCATGAATTCATTTTTTAAGATTTACATGTTTGTGTGGGCAGGATCAATTTTCTGTCTAAAGAAGACACCTTAGAAATGACTTAGCTTTAGCCCATTATTTACATATGAAGGAACTGAGGCTGGGAGAAGTAATGTGATTTGCTCAAGGTTTCCTGCCTGCAGAAGCTAGAACTTGAACATGAGCCTCCTGATGTTTGGACTGGTGCTTTTGTGATAACATGGCTAACTTGGCTTGGCTTTGTGGTAGCCCAGAAACAAACTGCACTTTCATCTTTTTAACACTAGAGTAGCTATACTGAGAATAGTTGCTTGCTCCTTTACCTTGATCTTAAATTCCCTTTGTGTTTTTGTTTGGTTAGGTATGTTAAATCGGTCTTTTTATTTAAGTTTCTTCAAATTGTTTATAAAAAGGAGCATAATATACGTGTTTTAAAAATAAAATACTTGTAAACTCCCACATATGTGTTTGTAATTTAAAATTGTATAGCAAGGATACATTATCTTTACATAAGATCACCTAGGATTAAGTTAGTGTAGCAAATCCTAGTTTGATCTTCTTAATCAGTAAGTAGTCATTATTTATCAGATCTCTATAAACTAAGATATGCTTATTTTTTAAAATTTGTGCTTTACACTTACACAGTATTTCCATCTTAAATACATTTATTACTTTTCTAAATTAAAGAAAATGTTGCAGATTTTAAAATTTACAAGTCTACATCTAATAAGACAGGTTAGCTAAAAGTATCTATGCCTTTTCAGATCCTAAAACAATGTAGCTATCACTGGTAATCGCCAGAGAGAGAGACAGAGATATAGAAAAAGAGAGAGACAGAAACAGAGCCACATATTTTTAAATTAGCCATATTTGCCAGTATAGACTACATATACTTAACACAAAAATCGAAATCTAAAGTGCTCCTAAATATGAGTCTCAACATGTTGCCACAAGTGGAAAATTTCATACCTGACCTCATGTAATGAGTTGCAGTCAAAATGCATCAAAATTTTGTTTCATGCACAAAATTATTAAAATATTGTAGAAAATTACCTTAAGACTATGTGTATGAGGTGTATATGAGAAAGAAATATCTTTTGTGTTTAGACTTGGGTCCTATTCCCAAGATATCACATTATGTAAATACACATATTCCAAAATGCAAAAAAAAAAAAAAAAAAAAAAAAATCCAACCTGAATACTTCTGGTCCCAAGCATTTTGATAAGGAATAGTCAACCTATAATATAAATAATGCCGTAAGTGTTTAGGACATAAGTGAAAATTTGGGAAAAAAGGACATAAGGACACAATGACAAAGGATCAGCTGCCTGAAATGATGAACTTTTTGTATCATATATCAGCCAAGTAATAACAAAACAGACTAATATTTGAACCTGGGTGTTGAAACAGCACTTGGGAGCAGCCTCAACACTGAGCACTAGTGCTATCATAGGAAACAGAGCAATCACAACTAGAGGCAATCTCTTGACATCCATTTAACCTCATGCTATTGGCAAAGGAGGACTTGACAAATTTAGAAAGAAGCAATAAAATCCACTGAAGCAGCTAAATTATCTGCTAAGAGACACTGGAAACTACCTAAAATGAGGTTATAAAACGGAAATGCATTCCAAATCACCTTGCAGCAGTTTGAAATAAACATTTTCTGCAAAGTTCCCCTGCATTATCTATCCTTACATTTTCAGCATGCCATTCTTGAGATCCTAAGGCTAGTGTTTGGCTTTCCTAGTCTACATGCTCTTTTAAATTTTTTTTTTTTTGCCTCTACATAAAAATTTATTTTTTTCTCAAAAAGGTTGTTTTTGTGCTTTAGAACCTTGCCTTTCAGAATATAAGATATCAAAATAAATTTTTATAGTGAATCATATTGAGTCAAATTTTGGTTGTTCTCTTTCTAATGAAGAAAATGGTGCTTTGATATTATGATGATTCATATCTAGTTGTCTAATAAATGGAGACAAATAGACGGATATATTAGCTGTCTGCTGTAAAAATAAACTCCGAAATAAACTCAGTGATGTAATATAATAGTATTTATTTCTCGCTGCCCTAGATCATTCCACATATTCATTCAGAAACTCAGGTTCCCATCTTGTTCCTCTGTCTTTTTGAAGGGTCTTGAAATATTCTGTTAAATTAATAGATGGAGAAAGAGACTACTGGAAACACATACATCTATACTCACTTCTTAGCCATTTCTGAAGGGTCTAAAAGTAGCATACATCACTTACCCTCACATTCTATTGGCAGGAACTAATGGCATGTCTCCACTTAGATGTAAGGGGGCTGGGTGGGAGCTGAAAATATACAGTTTTGGGCTGGCTAGCCACTTCCTAGGGCAAAAGTACTTAATGGAAAGGGGCCACAAATATTAAATAGCTAATAATTACTCCATACATAATAATTTTATAACAAAATATTTATTTTAACTTTATTAAATATCTGTTACATGGCCTTCCCTAAATTCATATCTGGCTCAACTATGGTTTCCCCAATAATCCAAAGAATTTAAACCTACACCAGTATTAATGACAACAGCTTTCCTAAGGCCAAGATAGCCTCCTCACAGATCACAGTACTTTTCTTTTTACATGTTCTCTGTGTTCTGCATTATCTTTATTTGGACAGCTTAAACTTGTCTTTTGTGAATTACACTTTTCCTTAAATCTGACCTTCTGTTTGTAGCATTCTTGAACCTCTCTAGTTTATATTAATCCATCATTTCTCTCTTTAATGTTATTTTACACCTAACCTTTATCTTGGTTCACTACAGATTTGTTTACATGATCATATTACTAATTTGTGGTCAGTGAAAATTATTACTTATATCTCCTATTAGCCTTTCAATTTTCTGGCTGTGTGGATGATATATTAGTGTACTAAGTCAATGCATTCATGAGTGAATTGAATGAATGAATTTAATAAACAAATATGAAGACATAAAGACAGTTCTAACAGCTTAACAGTTAAAAAAGTCTATAAAATTATTTCTGAACAGCATGTTGATTTTAATAAGGAGAAATATACACACATATACGTATACACTTACAATAATTTCCTGCCAAGCCAAGTGAACTTAGACACTACAGACCTAATTTTTAATTTTAATTACCTTGAGTGCTGCCTGGATTTATTAATATGTGTGTGTGATGTAGTTTGAGTATTTGTCCCCTCCAAATCTCATGTTGACATATGATCCCCAGTGTTGGAAGTGGGGCCTGAAGGGAGGTGTTTGGGTCATGGGGGCAGATCACTCATGAATGAGTTAGTGCCCTCCTTCCAGTAATTAGTCCAAGTGAGATCTGGTTATTAAAGAGACTCAGACACTCTCTCTCTCTCTCTCTCTCTCTCTCTCTCTCTCTCTGTCTCTCACTCCCTCTCTTACCAAATGACACACGTGCTACTCCTTTGCCTTCCACCATGAGTGAAAGCTTCCTGAGGCCTCACTGGAAGCTAAGCAGATGCTGGTGCCATGCTTGTACAGCCTGCAGAACAATGTACCAAATAAAACTCCTTTCTTTATAAATTACCCGATCTCAGTTATTCCTTTATAGCAACACAAAACAGACTACTACAACACATGTACATGTAGGCACATTTAAACTAAAAATATATGTACAAGTAGGGAAATATATGCTGCTCTTTAAGAGAACACTTTGAGGTTTGGGACTTAATAGAATGACATTTTCACGATTAGCTCTAAGTCATGAATGATATAATAAATTTACATTGCTAGAAATAATGTTATCAGTTGCCTTATAGAAATACTGAATTCTAATTGAATGTTATATAATATTAAATCCATATTGGTTATATTTTATTATAAAATGTGTTCACTCAATTTTCTCTTTCCTGAAGAATTTTTCTACTACTTTACCGAATACCTACTGTATAATAGGGACTTTATACATTTTATACATCCCTGCTCCAAATTTACAATATGTCTATTTTCTGTAGAAGAAAGTTGAAAGCCAGAAATATTTGAAAAGTTTATTAAATTTTACAACTCCTAAGTGTAGGGAAACAATTCTCTACAATTCCTTTAGATTTCTATAATCAATGAAAAACTGCTTTGTGCTCAGCCCCTAAGCAAGAAAAGGGAGATCCAGCACCATACTGAACCATTGGGTTTTGGAGACACAACATACCTAACTGGGGAATTCTACTTGAGCCTTTATGTCAGTCATCTTGAAAACCAGCATTTTTAGGAAGTCTGAGTTGAAAGCTGTCTAGCAAGCTGTGGCATTCTTTCTATCCTCCAGGCCCCACAGCCCTAATGAGCCCTTTAAGCTCCATGTATTTGTGATTATGCTAATTATAGTCTCTGACAAAGGAAGATGCCTCTTTGGGTATTTGTCACCACTCAGAAGCAGCTATCAAGTAAAACACTTTAGAGAGACAGCCGTTAGCTTGCTATTGGGTCCTGACCCATATTACCCTTGGGATTCTTTATTTCAATGTTCCCATTTTAAAGTGAGGCAACTGAAACTCACCCACTAACAATGTGGCAAAGGCCCAAAAATCCGTGTTTGTTACAAGGAAATAGCATATAAAAGAAAACATGTGATTAGGTCCCAGCAACCCTCAATTTTATATGAAATGCAGCAGCTGACTCTTGGGGGAATTTTTTTTTTCATTTAAAACTTTTAATTTTTAATTTTTGTGGGTACACAGTTGGTATATATATTTATGGGAAATATAGGATATTCTGTTGTAGGCATAAATGTGTAATGTGATTACTCATTGTACATCTGTGGAAAATTTTATTCCCCTCTCCATAATCTGAAGTGTAGCCACTGTACTCTGAATAGCTGGTCCTGGTTCACTGAAATTTTGGCTATGCTGAGATCCAGTGGTTGGCAACTGAGGCTGGGGCCACTCCGTAAAAATGGATCTGGTCACTTTGTTCAGTGGAGAAAACTCAAGATCATCCTTATAGCTTTGGCCCATACCCCCATTCATAACCCTGTTGAATTTATCTTCTGGCTCTTGGGCTGTTGCCAATGGCCAGTCTATTTTTTTCTTCTACTTGAAAAATTACTGGACAATTAAATGCAACCCCTTTGGGGCTGCAAATTGTGGAAATAAATTGCTGCTTCTATCAAACCATCTAGTTCACTCATGCAGATGCTTACTAGAGGGGCCTATTCTCTGAAGAAACCAACTGGAATCAAGCTGCTGAATGAGTCTACACCAGCCAGAATGCCACCATTGCTACCTGGACCTATCATTGCACTAGAAATAGCATCACATCCATCATCATAGTCTGAGCACAATGTAAATGACTTTATGTTTCTGATCAGAGTCTATCACTGTATATGCCAGACTTATCACTCCTTTCAAAAGTCAATTCCTTTGGTGGTGAGAAAGACTACATTGAATAGCATGTTGCCTTCATCCACTCCAGGATGATTCTTTACCAGAATATTTTGACTTTTGATTCAATTTTTTAAAGTGGCATTTTATGATGACTTGAGGGTTTGCATATTCTGAGCTATATTTCCAAATCTCTTATTTACTTTATGCATGACTTCAATAAAATCATCTTATATTTTGTTGGCTTGATTTCTACATCTATATATAAAATTTCTGTAGTGTCCTAAAAAGAAGTGCTGAATACATCAGTATCAGTGATGTTTTAAGAGAAAGAAGGAAGCCATTTATGTTCTACCAGAATGATGATAATGCATCCTCTAATAATCTCTAAACAGGGTAGATAAAAAGAATAAAGTTAAACTAAAGCTGAACATATGCTTACCCTATGTTCCAATAATTACATTCCCTGCTATATCTAACATAAATGAGTATAGCTATGCATGAGGAGGCACATATAAGACTGTCCTTTACAACTTTATTTATATTATAAATTGAAAAACAATATTAAAGACAATTAATAGTATTATGGTGTATCAGTCTGTTCTCACACTGCTATAAAGACATACCTGAGACTGGGTAATTTATAAAGAAAAGATGATTAATTGGCTCATAGTTCTGTGGGTTGTACAGGCTTCTGCTTCGGGGCAGGCCTCAGGAAACTACAATCATGGCAGAAGGTGAAGGGGAAGCAAGTATGTCTTCGCATGGCCATCAGGAAAGAGAGCAAAGGGGGAAGTGTTACACACTTTCAAACAACCAGATCTCATGAGACCTCACTCACTATCATGAGAAGAGCAAGGGGGAAATCTGCCCCCATGATCCAATCACCTCCCACAGGCTCCCTCCCTCAACACGTGGTGGATTACAATTTGATATGAGATTTGAGTGGGGACACAGAGCCAAACCATGTCATTCTTCCCCTGACCCCTCCCAAATATCATATCCTCACATTTCAAAACACAATCATGCCTTCCCAACAGTCTCCAAAGTTGCAACTCATTCCAGCATTAACTCAAAAGTCCAAGTCCAAAATCTCATCAGAGACAAGGCAAGTCCCTTCTACAAATGAGCCTGTAAAATAAAAAACAAGTTAGTTACTTCCAAGATACAATGAGGGTACAGGCATTGTGTAAACGCTCTTACTCCAAATGGGCAATATTGGCCAAAACAAATGGGCTACAGGTGCCATGCAAGTCAGAAATCTAGCAGGGCAGTCAATCTTAAAGCACCAAAATAATCTCCTTTGATTTCATGTCTCACATCCATGCCACACTAATGCAAGAGTTGGGCTCCTAATGCTGTGGACATCTCTACTCTTGTGGCTCTGCAGGGTGTAACCCCCACAGCTGCTTTTATGGGCTGGTGTTGAGTGCCTGCAACTTTTCTAAGTACATGGTGTAAGCTGTTGGTGAATCTACCATTCTGGAGTCTAGAGGACTGTGGCACTCTTCTCACAGCTCCACTGAGCAGTGCCAAAGTGGAGACTCTGTTAGGGGACTCCAGCCCATTTCCCCTCAGCATTGCCCTAGTAGAGGTTCTCCATGAGGGATCTGCCCCTGCAGCAGACTTTTGCCTGGACATCCAGGTGTTTCTATATATCCTCTGAAAGCTAGGTGGAGGCTTGCAAACCCCAACTCTTGCCCTCTGCACACCCACAGTCTTAACACCATGTGGAAGTAGCCAAGGCTTTCAGCTTGTACCTTCTGGAGCAGTGGCCTGAGAAATTTCTGAGTCCCTTCTATCCAAAGCTGGAGCTGGAACAGCTGGGATGTAGGGTACTGTGTCCCAAGGCTGCACAGAGCAGTGGGGCCCTGGGCCCAGCTCACAGAACCATTCTGCCCTCCTAGGCCTGCAGGCCTGTGAAGGGAGGGACTACTTGAAGGTCTCTTAAATGCCTTGGAGGCATCTTCCCCATTGTATTGACTGTTAACATTCAGCTCCTCCCTACTTACAGAAATTTCTGCAGTCAGCTTGAATTTCTGCTCTGAAAATGGGTTTTTCTTTTCTACCACATGGCCAGGCTGCAAATTTTTCAAATGTTTATGGTCTGCTTCCCTTTTAAATATAAGTTCCAATTTCAGACCATCTCTTTGTTCACACATGTGAGCGTATCCTCTTAGAAGCAGCCAGGCCACATCTTGAACAATGATGCTTAGAAATTTCTTATGCTAGATACCGTAAATCACGTCTTTCAAGTTCAAAGTTTCACATGTCTCTAAAACAGGAGCACAATGCCACCAGTCTCTTTGTTAAAGCATAGCAAGAGTGACCTTTACACTGGTTCCCAATAAGTTCCTCATGTTCATCTGAGATCTCCTTAGCCTTGGACTTCATTTTTCATATCACTATCAGCATTTTGGTTACAACCATTCAATAAGTCTCCAAGAAGTTCCAAACTTTCCCTCATTCTCCTTTCTTCTTCTGAGCCCTCCAAACTGTTCCAACCTCTGTCCAGTAACCAGTTTCAAAGCTGCTTCTACATTTTCAGGTATCCTTATAGCAATGCCCCCCTTCTCTGGTACCAATTTTTCTGTATTAGTCCATTCTCACAGTGCTATAAAGACATACCTGAGACGGGGTAATTTATAAAGAAAAGAGGTTTAATTGGTTCATGATTCTGCAGGCTGTACAGACTTCTGCTTCTGGGCAGGCCTCAGGAAACTTACAATCATGACTGAAGGCAAAGAGAAAGCAAGCATATCTTCACATGGCCAGCCGGAGAGAGATTGAAGGAGGAAGTGCTACACACTTTCAAACAACAAGATCTCATGAGAACTCAGTCACTATCACAAGAAGAGCAAGGGGGAAATCGACCCCCATGATCTAATCACCTCCTCCTACAAGGTCCTCCACCCCAACATTGGGGATTACAATTTGAGACCAGATTTGGGTGGGGACACAGAGCCAAGCCATATCATATAGTTACATATGTTACATATAGTTACATAGACATTGTTGTAGTCATATAGTACCACAACATACAGAAAAAAAGAAAAAAACAAAAAAAGGAATTAAATTAACTACTCCTATCTGCAACAACATGGGTGAAACTTATATGCTTATATTGAATGAAGAACTCAAACAAAATATATTTGATATGATTTCAGGTACATATGGAGCTCAAAAAAATCTATTGTGATAGAAATGAGAGTAATGTTTACATTTGTGGGTCAAGGTTAAAGATTGAGAGAAGAAATGAGGAGGTATCTGGGCTACATTTCAAGATGTAGACATTACATCTTGACCCAGGTGGTGGTTGCATAGCTGTATTCACTTTGCAAAAAATTCATCGAGCTGTATACTTAGGTCTTTGTAAGTATAGGTACTATAGTTAATTTATGCTATATTAAAATATATATCTCACTATTGTTATTTTATGCTACATGTATCTTATATTATAATAAAAGTTATCCTAAAAATAACCAAGTTAAGATTTATAAACAAGTGATAAAATTGTGCCATTATATAAATGCATGTGTGTAACACAGCCCCTTGTACTTATGAAAGAAAATGTAAGATTGTTGGCAATTTGAATTATGAAGCACAAACTCCAAATACAGACTTGATGAATGATCCCAGTGCAAGATATTTGATTAAAAAAAAAGCAAGTGAAAGGATTACTTAAAAGAGGATGAATGTGATTATTATAAAAAAATAAGTTTTTTATATATAGCCTTTTTAGTATTACAGCTTTGGTTCTAAAAGAACCAGTCTTTTATTCAACAAAATAAGAGGATTTAAAAAGTACATTTAGTCAGCTAATTTATAATCCATGCTGTGAGTTCTGAAAATATTTTACAATGATTATTTTCAACACTTAATGAACCACTTTAGGAGCAAGTTAAATTCCAGGCATTCTATTATAGTTCAATCATGTTATTCCCCTGCTTGAAATGTTTCATCCTACTTTATTATATAATTTATAAGAATCAACTTTATTTAATATGCCAATATTTAAATTCTCCATAAAATCACTTGAATGTTTCTTTTTCCTGTTTATCACTCACAACTTCCTAATTTGTAGCTGATGTTTTAGCTAATTTCAACATCTCTTTCAACATATCACCACCCCCAACTTTTCTCTTTCCTCTATATTTTATTTGTAGTTGTTCCCTTAAATAAAAAAAAAAAAAAACCTCTACATATCTCTGTTCAAATCATACCTATTTTTCAAAACCCAAGTGAAACACTCCTTTCCCATGAAGTCTTCTTTGACTTTTGGGAGATACCTCTCTTTCCCATGAATTCCTATGGCATTTCAAAAATTATGTCCCAGCCTTGTAACTAGCTATTACTTAGAGCTTCTGGGTCATCACTCATGTTTTATTATGTGAAGCCTCATTAAGCAAAGGCAAGTCAGGGCCTCCCCTGGGAGCAATGGCTTATTTTAGGGAGACTTCTCACTAAAAAGAGATGATCTGCTTAGCTCCACATATCATGTCCCTAGTCATCGAGATCTGATTTCTAAAGGGCAAGGCTACCACAGCATCCCCAGCTTTCTAAATACAAACAGATTCCTCAATATCTTGTTTATTTTTCCCCAATCATTCCCAATTAATTTCATTGACATCAGAAATTTGAAGGGTGACTGGTCCTTTCTGAAGTCTAAAGCTTTTTAATTAGGCTTTGCAGGAAGTACAATGTGTATTTTCTTAATCCTTATAGACTTGATGTACAAATCTGTTTCACAAGATTTTTTTGGCATAGCTTCTTGCAAACAATTCTCAATTTTTAACACATGTACAGGAAATATATTATCCTTTTCCTTAATATATGTTCCAAATTTTGATATACATATATTTAAATATCAATGATATCTGTGAATTCCTAAAGATATTTTATCATGATTTCCTCTATCCTCACACATAATTCAAGTAAGTTATGCTTTAGTCCCACACTGGCCATTATGCTAAATGTGGCCACCTTGATATTTTCCAAAATAAATTACTAATTCTTGTTTTAAGATGTGTCTTTCATACCTGCAGTGAAGCACTATGGAATGGCACATGTTACACTACTCAGGGTCCTTCATTATTTTAATCTATCTGCCATGCTCTGTGTCCCTTTTGAAAACCTCCAGTCCTGCCATATAAACCTTCTCTATCCCAGCCACTACCCCCAAGAAATGCACTGCAGCCTCCTAGAGTGGCATCTTCCATTCTAGTGAGTAGCCCTGCTAAGCTACCTCCCTTTATCATCTCTTCAAGGACTCCAGTGATTAGCATTTTCTGCATCTTCTTATATTTATCCCAATGTCTCTTTAAGAACAGAGACATAGGTGTTAGATTGCCAAGGCTTAAATCTCACAAGCTGAGAAACCTGAACAAAGTATTTAACTTCTCTGCTTCTCAGTTTCCCCATCTGTGAAATACAGATAATAATAATACCTACTTCAGAGGGTGATTGTAGCGATTAAGATATTTAATGTATGCAAAGTACTCAGAACTGTGACTAATTAATAGTAGAGGTTACATAAGGGCCAGTTGTTATTATTATTAGTACTATTATTATTGTATCACTTCTTGAATACTAGCAGTGTATTCTGCTAAAGTTCAATTATACCCACCTCCACTACCTTCAAAACAGTTCCCACAGAGATTCACATTACATAGTTAATAAAAATATATGTAACTAAACAAGTGGATTGGAAGCCTCAGCTTGGAACCCAGATCACTCAAACAACACATCAGAAATCATTGAAATGGATGACTCCAATAAGCTAAAAAGATTGAGAACACTTTAGCCATCAGAATTCATTTTTGGAAAGAAAAATTGATTTTGCTGGGAAAATAAATTAGTAAATGAGTGGTTGTGGTAGAAAATAAGACTTCAAGGATTGGAGGACATAAGGGTTGTTGGACATAGAATGTACTTCATTTGAGCAGAATAAGATTTCTTCTAACCGAACCAAGGGGAAAAGAGAGGACAGGGTTGTGGGTGTTGACACAGGGTCAGTGTGCTTGCACTCAGCAGTCTGAGTCTTCCTTTCCACCTGCACTACAAACTCTTGTAAAAGTTCAATTCCCTTTCTCCCCACCCTGCCACACATGCAACTTTGTGCCAGTGTATTTCCATTCTCCTTTCCCCAACAAAATGTGAAAAGCCTGGGCTTCTTGTGAAGACCCAACAAGAGCGGATGGATAAAAAAGCACCAAGACAGAGCTAGAGGGAACCAGGAGTGCATAAGCTGCCAGAACTCAGAAAATTATGAAGAAGCTCTGGACTTTTACCAACCAACAAAATTAGCAGATTTAAGTGAAGCGACCTAAATTTCAAAGGGAAGGATCCGTAGGTGATATTGGCCTTTAAGGATGTTTATTGAAAAAGAGTGTATGTTCCTTTTCTCAATGAATAATATCTAATCCTGGTACAGTGAATCTCTATGAATTCCCTCCCTATTAACTCTTTTTTTTTTTTTTAATTTGTGATAGGGTCTCGTTCTGCCACACAGGCAGCCCATATTTTCTTCTGGGCACTGCTCATGGTGAGTTTTGTGGACATAATGACATCAGTAAACTGTGGATATGTTCTCTGACTTCTGAGACACTCAACCTAACCTGGACCTTAAGGGCCTTTCTCCAAAGTTTCTAGAACCAAATTTATGAGGATCTCTGTTCTTGACTAAAATTATTATTATTATTATTTTTGAGATGGAGTCTCACTCTGTTGCCCAGGCTGGAGTGCAGTGGTGTGGTCTCAACTCACTGCAACCTCTGCCTCCTGAAGTTCAAACGATTCTCCTGCCTCAGCCTCCTGTGTAGCTGGGATTACAGATGCCTGCCACCACACCCGGTTAATTTTTTGTATTTTTAGTAGACACAGGGTTTCACCATGTTGGCCAAGCTAGTCTCGAACTCCTGACCTCATGATCTGCCTGTGTCAGCCTCCCAAAGCGCTGGGATTACAGGCGTGAGCCACCGCACCTGGCCATTCTTAACTAAAATTATAAACTGCTAAAATCAAGAGCTCTCAGTGGGATGTGTTCTGGTCTATAGAACAAGATGCTTCACACTGACATTGAGCAAAGCCAATGTCTTGAAAGAAACAGAGAAAAGGGGACAGGAAAGTCATGATGGCCTGAAGTCCCTGGCCTACCTTCAATCATTCCTGGGTTTAGCATTCTCTCTGCTTTTCTCAAATCTTAGTGCTTAACTCTCTTGATTCTAATTTATACAGGTATTTCAATGGTGGGTCAAACTACATCAAATTGTATTTCTACTTCTTGCTTAAAAATATTAAAAACTCATATATTCAGGTAATCTCTGCCAAGTAATTGTTAAACTATTATACAGATACCTTTGAAGTATCTCACTCTAAAATTGTAGGTGCTGCTTATTTTCATAATCTCTACAAACGAGTCTTTTGATAAGTGAATATTTCAAAATAAACAATGCATAAATTTACAAAAGAAAAGGATTCTGTTATAAAAGATGCCAATCTCTACTATAATAAAAATGTAAATATTTATTCATTTAATGGTTTCAACAAAAACCAGGGTATTTTATATACTGGCCTCTCCCAATGCAGGTTTAATAAAATGCACTATTAAAAGATGGTGCACAATAGCATGTATAATAGCATTTGTATAAATATATAGATATGTTTATATATATATATATATTTTTTTTTTTTACTGGAGGTTTTTTCAGTGCCTTTGATATATTAATGGAAACCTGAACCTTCAAAATGAGCCTGTTGATCACAATGTTTTCCCAAACTTACTATAACATTTCCTTTTCTTTCATCAGGTCAGATTATTTTGGGACTAGAGTTGAGACATGCTAATATACACAGTTAAAATATATATTTGTGCAAGAAAATAATAAAATAAAGTGGAGGAATATGCATCAAAGGTGCATACATTGAGAGGCATTTAGAAGCCTGTAAAACTCAAACTTCTTATGTATCTAATAGCCTAACCTGAAATGATAGTAATAATCATAACCATAACCAATTCTGTATTTCTTGAGTTACTGCTAAGTGTCAGGCACTGAAAAATTTTTTAAATTACTTTATTTGATAATTTAGTCACTAAAACAAAATTGTTAGGTTGGCATGACTGTCCCCATTTTACTGGCGAGGGAACCTATCCTTACAGTCAAAGAGTTGGGATTCTAGTATGGTTTAGCCAAATGAAGAGTTCAAAATGCAAATAACAGTGAAACATCAAGATGTCTTAACTAGACTTAATTTAGAATTTTTTTTTTTTTTGGTTTTCAAAAAGAAAATATATTTGAAACTATTTTTTTTGGGAATTACTCTAACATTGTACAGTTATTGACCATACGGCTAATGATATGGTGTGGCCGTTTTCCCACCCAAATCTCATCTTGAATTATAGTTCCCACAATCCCCACGAGTCATGGAAGGGGCACAGTGGGAGGTAATTGAATGTCAGGGGTGGTTATGTCCATGCTGTTCTCGTAATAGTGAGTGAGTTCTCACAAGATCTGATGGTTTTATAAGGGGTTTTCCCCCTACTTTGATCTGCACTTCTCCTTGCTGCCGCCTTGTGAAGAGGGATGTGTTTGCTTCCTTTTCTGCATGATTTTAAGTTTCCTGAGGCCTCTCCAACCCTGCAGAACTGTGAGTCAATTAAAACTCTTTCCTTTATAAATTACCCAGTCTTAGGTATGTCTTTATTAGCAGTGTGAGAATGGACTAATATAGTAAATTGGCACTGGTAGAGTGGGATGCTGCTATAAAGATACCCAAAAATGTGGAAGTGACTTTGGAACTGGGTAACAGGCAGAGGCTGGAACAGTTTGGAGGGCTCAGAAGAAGACAAGAAGATGTGGGAAAGTTTGGAACTTCCTAGAAACTTGTTGAATGGCTTTGACCAAAATTCTGATAGTGATATGGACAGTAAAGTCCAGGCTGAGGTGGTCTCAGACGGAGATGAGGAACTTGTTGGCAACTGGAGCAAAGGTGACTCTTGCTATGCTTTAGCATAGAGACTGGCAGCATTTTGTCCCTTCCCTAGTCATCTGTGAAACTTTAAACTTGAGAGAGATGATTTAGGGTATCTGGAAGAATAAATTTCTAAGCAGCAAAGCATTCAAGAGGAAGCAGAATATAAAAGTTTGAAAAATGTGCAGCCTGACAATAGAATAGAAAAGAAAATCCCATTTTTCTGGGGAGAAATTCAAGCCTGCTATGAAATTTGCATAACAAGAAATGAAATGTTAATTACCAAGGCAATGGGAAAAATGTCTCCAGAGTATGTCACAGACCTTCATGGAAGCCCCTCCCATCATAAGCCCAAGGCCTAGGAGGAAAAAATGGTTTTGTGGGCTGGGCTCACCCTCCTGTGTGCAGCCTAGGAACTTGGTGCCCTGTATCCCAGCTGTGCCAGCCACTGCTAAAAGTGGCCTGGGTACAGTTCAAGCCTTGGCTACAGAGGGTGCAAGCCCCAAGCCTTGGCAGCTTCCCATGGTGTTCAGCCTGCAGGTGCACAGAAATCAATAATTGAGGTTTGGGAACCTACACCTAGATAGCAGAGGATGTATGGAACTCCTAGATGTCCAGGCAGAAGTTTGCTGCAAGAGTGGGCCACTGTGCACCTGGAAAAGCCACAGACACTCAACACCAGCCCATGAAAGCAGACAGGAGGGGGCCTGTACCCTGGAAAGCCACAAGGACAAAGCTGCCCAAGGCTGTGGGAGCCTAACTCTTGCATCAGCATGTCCTGGATATAAGACATGGAGTTAAAGGAGATCATTTTGGAAATTGAAAGTTTAAGGACCATCCTATTGGATTTTGAATTTGCATGGGTCCTGTAGCCTCTTTGTTTTGTCCGATTTCTCCCATTTAGTACAGATGCATTCACCCAATGCCTGTACCTTCATTGTATCTAGGAAGTGACTAACTTGCTTTTGATTTTATAGACTCATAGGTGGAAGGGACTTGCCTTGTCTCAGATAAGACTTTGGACTTGGACTTTTGAGTTAATGCCGGAATGAGTTAAGACTTTAGGGGATTGTTGGAGGGCATGATTACGTTTTGAACTGTGAGGACAAGAGATTTGGGGGGGGTCAGTAGTGGAATGATATGGTTTGGCTGTGTCCCCATTCAAATCTCATAAAATCTCACCTTCAATTGTAGTCCCCATAATCCCCATGTGTAATGGGAGGGACCAGTGGGAGGTAATTGAATCATGGGAGCCCATTACCTCCATGTACCTCCATGCTGTTCTCATGATAGTGAGTGAGTTCTCACAAGATCTGATGGTTGTATAAGAGCCTTTTCCCCCTTTTGCTCTGTACTTCTCCTTGCTGCTGCCATATGAAGAAGGATGTGTTTGCATCCCCTTCCACCATGATTACAAGCTTCCTGAGGCCTTCTCATCCCTGTGGAACTGTGAGTCAATTAAACCTCCTTCCTTTATAAATTACACAGTCTCAGGTATGTCTTCATTAGTAGTGTGAGAACAGACTAATACAGCTACCTTTACTAAATTCACCTGTAAACAAACTGTCATGTAAATACTATGGATTTCCATTCATGAGGGAAAATGACTGAAGACACTTGCTTTTCCACTGTAAACAATTTTAAAACTGAACCAAATATGTGAACATAAAAAACCTTTTTGTTCAGTTATTGGACAAAAAAATACCCAGACTCTGATCCTTGAACTTAAGGAAACAAATGAAGTGAGCAGCACTCTCACCCTGGCCACCTTCTTAGGAACATTTTCCACCCTGGTTTAGGAAGGTGGAACTCAAGCAGTGAGCTGCAGTCTTGTTGAGCTGAGGAGGAAGAAAACAGAATGCATTAAGTTTATTTTAGAATTTTTTATTTGTTTGCTGCTTATTTTCCGCAGAATATTTTTATGAGAGAAGTGTGTATTAGTTACTGTAAGAGAGTATCTTGAAGGCAGCATCTTTGTGAAAGCAGGATTACTGAAAAGTAAGGAACAAATTAACTCATTAAAAGAAACTAGAATGGAAGCAAACGCAAGACTTAGAGTTGAAGTATATGAGTTTAGCGTATGCCATTCTCTGCCCTCTTGGCTTCTTTGTGAACCACGAAAAAAAGTACAGTGCAGGCAATGAGCGAGTCATTGCAGTTACCAGAGATGGAACATTTATTAGGACAAAGAGTGTGGGAGAAAGTCTTCAGTAAGTTGGTGATTTATTATGTATTTCTGATTTAGAATTTTATTAGTGTCACACCCAACAACAAAGTTAGCTGAGACACAAAGAAAATGAAAGAATGTGGCTGGTGTAACAGAGAGAAGGTGAAGAAAGACACGTATTAGAACAGCACAGAGCTTTGCTTAGAAAAAAAAAAAGGTGCTGGGAGGCCTGGGTTCAAAATGAGGACACACTTATCTATTTGAGAACCTAGTTAGAAGAAAGAAGACATGCCAAAGATGACTTTTTCTGACTTTATGATTTCTTGAGGTTAACTTCACTAATTATAGTAAAAATCAATGGGAGAAAAGTGAGGACTTTGAAGTCACAAATCAGTCATTACAAATCTTTTTTCATTCCCCCACCTCACAGAGGAGTTCCCTGGCTGTACAGCGCTCATAGCAGGACTGTGTCTATAGAAAGTTGTAATAAATACTCTTTGATTCAAATACAACTAAATTGAATGGATGTGAGTTGAATTGATTTGAATCAAATTAAATGAACCCAAACTGCAAGAGAAACAATTTCTAATTTAGATAATTTGAAAAAGAGTCTAGAAAATTACATAGTCTAATATCCTCTGATGAGAGATGAAGATTACAACACACTTTTAAATGAAATTCAAGAGCATGCACACCTAATTGGTGGCACACATAGGACCAAGTTCTAGTTTTCTAACTTTCTGCCCAAACTTACCTTCACTATGCCACACTATATAAGATCTTTGTGACCTACAAATATAGATAATAATAATAATAATAAAAGGTGAGTGAAGAGGAAAATAATTTTTACATCTATAACTAAAGGTTGCAGAGCTATGTTGGATGAAGAATAGATTGTGAAGACTAAAAGTCACAATTCTATAATATGGCTTTAACTTTCAAAGAAGAGGTGATTTAGACAGACTAGTTGCACATGCTTTTATAATCTGAGGAAAATTATGTTGATGCTATGAATAAACACATAGATGTATTAAAAATAAAATGAATTAATGACCTCATTGTAATTTATTCAATTATCATAATTTCTATCACTAGTGTCAAATTTTTACACAATGAACTCTGATGAAATCAGCCATAATAATTTAACTAAATTCATCATCTTCACTATTTAGGTTCAATACTGGCTGCCTTAAAATCAATCAAGATAATGTAAAAACAAAACTGAATGTGAAAATATTAGTTTGTGATAACAATAGGCAATATCCAAAATTTGTAGTGGCACAGATTAAATGTGCTTAATGGCTTGAGAAGAGATTATGACTTTAAAAGTTAATTTGTCTTTCTACTACTCCAGTTTGATGCCTTAGAAACATTTTATGAAGCAAAGTTTTTAGATTTTGTAACTCAGAAAAGGCCTATTTATATTTAAGTAGTTCTCTGAGAAGATATCAAATTTTACAACATTTTTTGTAACCATTGGGTGGATATTTCTTTATGCAGGTATTACATGTAAGGAATATTTGTACGGGAGATTTAATAAAGACAGTATTTGCAAAAAGTAATTACTTGTCAGGCTTCAGTGATTCCTAATCTGTCCACAGTGGGGCAGCACTCTACAGGAAAATTAAAATCATATCCTAAATAAAATTCTACCTGTAGTGAAGTGGTAACACAGACTGTTCTATATAATGTGATCATCACAGTTTGTGTCAGATGGGGAAAGGGAGGGTTAAACATCTAGATACAACTAACTTATACTAAAATGGTTAACACAACATAGTGCCCTCATAATTGGACTTTAAAAAATCACAACAGGACCCGACAAATATTTCTATATTGTAAATGTGTTCTGTTTTTATCTTTTTCCCAACTGAATGTTTTTTTCATAAATGTGAAACTTTAAACATTTTGCACCTGATTTAAACAACACCTGTCACTTCTTATCAGCAAACAAATTTGGTAATCAATATAAAGAAATTGTAGAAAATACTAAATCAAAAATATTATCAAATAATGGGGAGAAAAAAAGTTGTTTAAAATTTTTCTTGGGTGTTTAAAACTTTTCAAAATGTATTTGCTTTTCAATGATGTATATTTGTGTAATTGTTCTTTACTTGATAACAAATTTTGGAAATAAAAGTATCACCCATTATAAATAACATAGACAAATCTTAGCATGTCATTGAATCAAGTGTCTTCAAACATATAAAAGCCCTTTGCTGTACTCTAAGATATAATTAAGGAGCCCTAATCAAATTCAGAAATAATTTCTTTCAGAGGAAAGTCTATTCCCTATAATAATAAATAATATTATTTACTATTTTATTTAAAGATATTTTATATATATATATATATATATATATATATATATATATATATATATATATATATATATATATGGCGAGGGAGAGAAATAGAGTTTACGAACCACTTAGTGCTTACTAAGCATGAGTGTTCTCTATATTGGCTACACCACCTTACTTTCTCACCAGCAGTGTACAAGGTTTCCCTTGTTTCCCTTTTCTCCACATTCTTGCCAGCACTTGTTATCTTAGGTTCCACAGAAATTTAAAAACAGAATTACCATATGATCCAGCAATCGCACTTCTAGGTATACACCCAAAGGAATTGAAATCAGTATCCCAAAGAGATACCTGCCCTCCCAATCACTGCACCACTATTTATAATATTCAAAAAGTAGAAGTAGCCTAAATGTTCATGGATGGATGAATGAATGGATACAGAAAACATGATATATACACACAATTGAATATTTAAAAAGGAAGGAACCATTGAACATTAAAAAAGGAAGGAAATACTGCCATTTGCCACAACATAGATGAACATGGAGAATAAAATGCTAGGTGAAATAAACCAAACACCAAAGGACAAATATTGCGTGATCCCATTTATATGAGGAATCTGCAATAGTCAAATTCATAGAAGCAAATATTAGAACGGTGGTTTCCAGGGGCTGGGGGCAGGGGGAAATGGGAAGGTATTTGCCAAGGGTTATAAGTTTTAATTTCACAAGGTAAGTCCTAGATATCTACTGCACAGCATAATGTCTATAATAAACAATACTGTAATAAAAACCCAAACATTTGTTAAGAGGATATACCTTATGTTAAGTGTTCTTTATCATCATCATCATCATCACTTCATCATCATAATTAACAAAGATGATAGAAGAAAACTTCTGGAAGAGATGGATAGGTTCATGGCATAGATTGCAGTGATGGTTTCACAGGTGTATATGTATCTCCAAACTCAAGAAGCTGTATATATTAAATATATACAAGTTTTTGTATGTCAATTATAACCTCAACAAAATTGGTTTTAGACATTGTCAAGGGCTGTTCAAAACCCGTTATATATGGTATTCGTTTTGAGACTCTTCTGAGTGATTTGCACTCTTCAAATCCACTTCTGGTTTAACACAGTTTAATAGCGGCTGTCTATGCCTTTCTGCCTCTCAATATTCCTCTCTATTTTATCTAGCTACACCTATAACTCTTATCTATGGTAATCATCTAAGTTGCTAGTTTCAGTCCATCTTACTCCCAGAACTGATTCTACAACAATTCATGTCCTCCTACTACCCCTTCCTTCTTCCACAGCTGACCTACCCTGGTTTCTATACGTCTGCCCTTCTGGCCAATCCAACAATCCAACATGGGGTCCATTATATCCATTATATTTCTGATGTTTCTTTTTGTATTTTGTTTTTGTTTTTTTTTTTTGACAGAGACTTGCTCTGTCGCCAGGCTGTAGTGCAGTGGTGCGATCTCAGTCACTGCAACCTCAGTCTCCAGGGTTCAAGCGATTCTCCTGCCTTAGCCTCCCGGGTAGCTGGGACTACAGTCACCTGCCACCATGCCCAATTAATTTTTTTTGTATTTTTAGTAGAGACGAGGTTTCACCATGTTGGCCAGGATGGTCTCTATCTTCTAACCTCGTGATCCACTGGCCTTGGCCTCCCAAAGTGTTGGGATTACAGGCGTGAGCCACCGCTTCTAGCCTTCTCGTGTTTTTTAATATGTACAACATTCCTTAATGAATGAGCTGCTTTTATGAAGCTGAAACGTATCTAATAACAAAGACAAAAAGGAGAATGGATAAAGAATGTATTGAAAGGGCTGGGCACGGTGGCTCACGCCTGTAATACCAGCACTTGGGGAGGCCGAGTCGGGTGGATCACCTGAGGTCTGGAGTTCGAGACCAGCCTGGCTAACCTGGTGAAACCCCACCTCTACTAAAAATACAAAAAATTAGCCGGGCGTGGTGGTGGACGCCCGTAATCCCAGCTACTCAGGAGGCTGAGGCAGGAGAATTGCTTGAACCCGGGTAGGGGGAGAGGGGCGGAGGTTGTGGTGAGCTGAGATCGTGCCATTGCACTCCAGCCTGGACAACAAGAGAGAAACTCCGTCTCAAAAAAATAAAGAAAAAAAAAATGTACTGAAAAGGGCCGGATGCTGTGGCTCAAGCCTGTAATCCCAGCACTTTGGGAGGCCAAGACGGGTGGATCACGAGGTCAGGAGTTCAAGACCAGCCTGGCCAACATGGTGAAACCCCGTATCTACTAAAAATAGAAGAATTAGCCAGGCATGGCAGCGGGCACCTGTAATCCCGGTTACTCAGGAGGCTGAGGCTGGAGAATGGCTTGAACTCGGGAGGCGGAGATTGCCGTGAGCCGAGATCGTGCCATTGTACTCCAGCCTGAGCAACAAGAGCAAAACTCCGTCTCAAAAAAAAAAAAAAAAAGAAATCTGAATACAAACAAATGATGAAAATGTTATTCAAAAAACATTGGCAAGTGGAGTTTAGCAATATATTAAATACACTGAAGAAAAGTAGCATTTTTATCTAGAAATGCAAAACGGTTTAATATTTAGAAATCTATTAACATAATAAAATATGTTAAAATTCTATAGTAAATTAAAGGCAACAAATTGCATCAGCTCAAACATCAAATACATTTCCATTTTAGTCAAGAACAAGACAGCCAAAGCTTTTGCATCATTTAGCGGTGTTTTTTATGTGCTAGTCAAGAAAAGACTTGGAACAAAACATCATTAATATTAACAGATGATTTGACATTTCCTAACAAACCCAGAAGAATCAACCAATAAACTATTAAAAATTTAATAAGCATTTTTCCAGTATTTCAAAATAAATTAGATAAAATTTAAAATTAGACACTTTAATGATAGCAACAAATATGTCAACTTTTGATGAATTAACCTAACATGAAACTTTGACATTAAAAAGCACTGATAAATGAAAATTATCATGTCAACAAGTGAAATAAAAATACATGATACATTTATGCAGTAGACATGCCAATTAACATCACCATTAAAATTTTTGAAAACTATTTCTAAATATTTTATTAAACCATAAATTGATGAGAAAGCATAGTACATATTAAAATAAAAATAATAATGAGGATCTTGTGTTACAAACATGCTAAAATTTATCATAGAGAAGCTATAATATAACTAATGTTATTCTGGTACTAAAATATACAAATAGATAATGAAACATCTATGAAAGCCTCAAACTGAGATAATTATATAGAGGTGTTTTACAGCATTTTAAAATTCATTTGTATAAAAATAATATACAAGACTAATGTGATCAAATAGTACTTTTAAGGATGCTCGTTACAGCACTGTTTATCACGAGAAATATTAGAAAGCCTAAAGGTTCAACATAATATCAAGTATATTTTATTATCCATACATAAAATACTAAGTAATCATTGAATGAAATGGAAAGTATTACAATATATAATTAAGAAAATATAAATGTATAAAATATTTAGTATTCACCCAATTTTATTTTCTGCCTATTAATATTTTATTGTATATTTTATCAACACTTAGATTACAAAGTATATATGATCAAACTTTTAGGGAACATTTTTACAATGTCTTAATTTTTTCTTTGCATTGTCACTTGCAGATGTCTTCATAACAATCCATTGTTTAATATGCTATAATGTACCTTTAAAAAATGGTTTAAGTTGTTTTTCCTTTTCCCTTTTGTTGTTTTATCAGGTTCTGGAGATGGATGACTTTAACTTACACACTTATTGTTTGTGTATTCTTGACTAACTCACCTAAGATCTAAGCCTAAATAGTCTTCCCTGTTAATGGAAATTAAAAAGAAAGGGGCAATGAGGTTTTTACAAGGTTGAAATGAGGTGATGTACATAAAAGTTTTAGCATAATACTTGGCACATAGTAAGCACTGAGTGAACGGTAGCCAATTTTATTCAAACTATTACCATAAACATAGTTGTAGATAATTTTTGTGCAAATTTATGAGGTTTTTGCTCAGAAGAAATCTTAAAGGTAAAATAGCTGAGTCAAAGGTATAGTCATAAAATTTTTGATAGCTATTACTAAGCTGTCAATAGGGAATATTAGCAATGCAGTAAAGATCCTTTTGCCTAAGGCAAATGAAATGGCTTTCACTCCCTTTCTTTACCAGCTTTGGATATGTTAGAGATGTATTTTTATTTTTTAAATTTGTATTTACTACGTATACATAATAGTTGTAAATATTTATGGGGTACACCTGATATTTTGACACAGCAAAAAATGTGTAATGATCAAATCAGGGTAACTGGGATATTCATCACTTCAACACAATGTTCCTTTGTGTCAGGAACATTCCAGTGCCATCCTTTTAGTTATTTTTAAGTGTCCGATAAATTATTGTTATCTGTTGTTGTTCTATTGTACTACAGAACACTCAATCTTATTTCTTCTTTCCAACTGTATGTATGTACGCATTAATCATCCCCTCTTTGTCCTTCCCCCAAGCTACCCTTCCTAGCCTCTGGCATTTTACATCATTCTATTCTTTATCTCCAGGAGTTCAATATATTTTTTTTTAGCTCCCACATATTAGTGAGAATGTCTTTCAGTGCCTGGCTTATTTCACTTAACATAATATCCTCCAATTCATCAACGTTGTTGGAAATAACAGGATTTTATTAAAATGAAACAATACCAACTTTCTGGAAATGTGTACATTAAATATTGACAAGACATCTCTACATATTTTTCTGTGTTTTTTCATTTTTTTGCAGTAAGCTTATATTACTTACATAATCAAAAAATATTATTTATAAACATTAAATACTGAAACAAGTTTTTTTGCAGATGTTATTACTGTATTGTGTATCTAGAAAAGAGAGTTAACAGAAATACTATTATAACTAAGAAGATAATTAAGTGACCACATACAAGATGAACATATAGAAATCAACAGTTCTGTATACCATTAATCCGTGATTAAAAACTTTTAAAGAAGTTTATATTCAGGCGAAAATAATCATTTTAATGAAATATATATTTTCTAGATTCTTAATCTAGAGCCATTACATCATTCCTTCAAAGGCTATGTTTTAGTAATATATTTGTTATTATTACTTTTCATTGTAATTATATGTTTAATGTATTAAAATATTATTCTGAGATGGAATTTATAGGATTTACCTATGCAAAGATATTAGATAATGGTACAAAGAAAAGGTTTAAAAATGCTGAATATTCTAGAGAATTATATCCTGTTTTATTTTATTTGAACTTTATATATAAGTGTAATTAAACATACAGTATAACATATTTAATTTTGAATATCTAGAAACGTTGCATCACTTAATAATTTATAAATTTATGAAACTAATTTCAGAAATTATATGTTAGAATAAATTGGAAGCTTCTTTAAAGACATCTGTCTTCTTACTTCAAGAATAAAGTGATCTGGCTTAAAATTTTTAGCATGAAGAAAATAATTCAAATGTTGATAATATTTGGTGGAGATTTGTTTTAAAAATATATTAGTTTGTTTGCCTTTTTATAGAAATTTGACAGGGTGACAGGACAATTTCTTAAGGCAACAGTGGTATTTTTATATTTGTGTGACTAAGAAATTATTTACATGTTTTGAGTGCTATTAACTTAACTATCCATGTGATCTCTACTTGAAACTCTAAAATTGATTCTACTTCTCAGTTTTGAGTACCCTCCTAAATTTATTCATAAACAATGTTCCTTTTTATTGTCCAACTAGTATAGATTTTTTTAGGAAAATCCTTTCCTTGGTTTGATGACTCTCCAATTCTTCAGCCAGTTGTTTCTGGTATATAAATCACTTTCAATCAATACCAAAAAGATGTCTCAAAACCACAAATTTACATGCAAATTAAATGACCTACTCCTGAACAAATTTTGGATAAAGGCCGATATTAAGGCAGAAATCAAAATATTTTTTGAAATGAATGTAAACAAATACACAACATAACAGAATCTCTGGGATATAGCTAAAGCAGTGTCAAGAGGAAAGTTTATAACACTAAATGCCTACATGAAGAAGTTAGTAAGATCTCAAATTAACAACCTAACATCACACCTAGAGGAACGAGAAAAACAAGAGAAAACCAACCACAAAGGTAGCAAAAGAAAATAAATAACCAAAATCAGAGCTGAACTGAACAACGGAGATATGAAAACCCATACAAAATACCAGAAGGCCAAACATTTGTTCTTCAAAAGTATAAATAGGATTGATAGACTGCTAGCCAGATTAATAGATTAATACAGAAAAAAAGAGAAGATCCAAATAAACACAACCAGAAATGACAGACAACACATTACCATGGACCCCAGAGAAATACAATAAACCCTGTTATAAACTACAAACATGAAAGGAATGGATAAATTCCTGGAAACATACAGCCTCCCAAGATTGAACCAGAGAGAAACCAAAATCTTGAACTTACTGATAATGAGTTCTGAAATTGAATCAGTAATTTAAAAAAAAACCCTACCATCCAGAAAAAGCCCTAAAGCAGTTGGATTCACAGCTTAATTCTACCAGATGCACAAAGGTGAGCTGGTAGCAATCCTACTGAAATTATTCAAAAAAATGGAGATGGAGCTACTCCTCCCTAACTCATTCTATCAGGCCAGCATCATTCTGATACCAAAACCTGGGAGACACAGTGAAAAAGAAAGTTTCAGGCCAGTAGTCCTGATGAACATAGACATAAAAATCCTCAAGAAAATACTAGCAAACCAAATCCAGCAGCACATTAAAAAAATAATCCACCATGATAAAGTAGGCTTTATTCCTGGGATGCAAGGCTGGTTTAACATATACAAATTAGGAAATGTGATTCATCACATAAACAGAATTAAAAACAAAAACTGTGTGATTATCTCAATAAATTCAGAAAAGGCTTTGATAAAATTCAACACCCCTTCATGATAGAAACCTCAACAAACTAGGCATCAAAGAAGCACACCTCAAAAGCCAACATTGAAAAGTAAAACTAAAATTAGAAACAAGGAAACAGATTTAAAAACCCAAATAATGTGTTTTGCAGGAACTAAAACTAGATCCCAAGTGCCAGTAAGCAAGAATGTTACTTGCTCCTGAGGTTACTCTCCCATTCTCCTTATTAAAAAAAAAAAAAAAAAAAAAAAAAAAAAATCCAAAAAAACCTCACAAAAATAAAGTAAACAAAAGCCAAACAACTATTCTAAACTGTATCAGGTATATTACATTAGATAACAAACAATTTTGAAATGTTCATAATATTGAAAACCAAATGTTTGCTTTTCACTCACTCTACTTGTCTGAATAGAGTGGCCAGGGGCTGTGTTCCTCATTATCACTCAGGCATCAAGGCCGATGTAGCATCCATGTTGACGCATTCTTCCACAGTTACTGAGGAAGGTCAAAGTACAGCTGGCATTCAGGAGGAGTGCTCCAGCTTGGAGGTGACACACACCACTTCTGCCCAAAACTCATTGACCAGAATTAGAAGTCTGGTCCCATTAAATCACAAAAGGGCAGGAATTTGGTGCTTCATGGTGCCCAGAAGAAGATGAGAATCAGGTATCAATGAACAGCTGTATGTTGACCATGTAAATATTTTTCTTCTTTTCTCTCCTCTACTGCCATCTCACACTTTCTGAGCAAGAACTTGCCTCTTCTTTTTTCACAAGGAAAAACTAAAACTACAAAGTATGAATTCTCTCAGATGCCTTACTCCAGAGTAACTAAATTACTGTAACTCCACTCATCTTCAGCCGCTTTATTCTGGTCTCAAAGGGATGTCCCGACTCCTGGGAAAAGATATTCCTCTCACTGAAGTTTACTTTCACTCCATTTCTTTAAAGACCCTGCTTCATCCATAATTTAATTTGATCCAGTATTATAAATTTCATCATCACTTATGTACCTTCCTTCCAGTCTGTAAACAAGTTCAATTATCTCACTTTCATAAAACTTCTCACTACGTTCTTGTACTCTCTCTTTCCATAAATGTGGAAAAATGGTACTTTATAATTTTTTTCTCTTTTTAATTGTGAAAGATTACACATATAAAAGTGTTTATTTTATACATATCTCTATCTATCTATCTATCTATCTATCTATCTATCTATCTATCTATCTATCTATCTAGGTTTTCATAATAAGAGAATGCCTCTATACATGGAATGTAAGAAATATTATAATACCCAGCCCTTTGAAGTCACCTTGTGTCACTTTTCTACTTAAACCTGTAGGAAGCCATTTGTAAAATTTTGAGATACTTATCTCCTTGCTATTCTTTGATAGTTTTAGCAAACACGTATATTCCTACTAAGAGCATTTTCTTTTATTTTTTACTATACTCATTTATAACTGTAATCCTACCACATGTATGATTCTCTATTCTTTGCATATTCTCTCAATATATAATTGTAAGGTTGAAATCTGTGGGTGCATTTATCCACAATTCATTGAGTTATACTGCTGTAGAAAATTCCATTGTTTGATATCTTATAATTTTGTTTTTGTTCATTCTACTGTTCACATACCTTTCGGTAGTTTCAAGGTTTCTTTTTTTGTTATTACTGACACTAACATTACGAAGTCCGGGCGCGGTGGCAGTGGCTCACACCTGTAATCCCAGCACTTTGGGAGGCCGAGGTGGGCGGATCACCTGAGGTCAGGAGTTCAAGACAAGCCTGGCCAACATGGTGAAACCCCGTCTCTACTAAAAATACAAAAATTAGTCAGGCGTGGTGGTAGGTGCCTGTAATCCCAGCTACTCGGGAGGCTGAGGCAGGAGAATCACTTGAAACCAGAAGGCAGAGGTTTCAGTGAGCCGAGATAGTGCCATTGCACTCCAGTCTGGGGGACAAGAGTGAGACTTCGTCTCGAAACAAAAAAACAAAAATATATATGGTATTACGAATATTCTGTCTCAGATATTCAAAACAAGATAAACTATTCTCTAAGATTTGCACATGAAAATGAAATTTTTGGGTCATCAAGTATATATATGTTAAACCTTACTTAGTAATGACAGGTTATCTTTCATAATGCCTCAATCAGTTAACACTCCCCAACCATAGGATATAATTTCTGTTGTTGCACAACACTGCCAACATTTAGTATTGTAACACGTTTTACATTTTTATAAATCTACAAGGTGTGAATCATTTCATAAGAATTTTAATTTGCATTTTTCTAAGCATTAATATGGTTGAATGTTGATTCATATTTTATTGAACATTTATGTTTCCTTTCCTCTGTAATACCTGTTCAAGACTTTTGCTCATTTTTCTATTAAATCATTAGGTTTAAAATAAATAGGTGTTTTGCATATATTCTATATGCTACGCTATTCTATTTAGAACTATTTACATTAAAATGCTATTTCCCAGATTATGGTTTATCTTTTCACATTTCCTAGTGACTTTTGACAAATAGAAGTTTTTTTTTTAAGTATCAAAATTTTCAATATTTTTCTTTATGGTTTTCACTCTTTAAATATCATGAGTTCTTACCCTAGGGATGTAAAGATATTCTCCTATGTTTTCTTTTTAAACATGTCTTCCAAAATTATTTGTCATAGAGGAGAGATCACATTGTATTTTTTCAAGTACCCAGATGTCCCAGTACAACTTATAGAATAGTGAATTTTCCCCAGAGATCTTCAGTGTTGGCTGTCATATCATGTTTCTGTTTTATTAGCCTAATCTCATATTCCTATGACAATAAACTTTGCTATACTTTCTTAATAAACATTTTCTTAATTTTCTTTTAACAAGTCTTGATAAGTAGTTGGCCTACCCTCTTTCCTCAAAGAGATAATCTTTTTAAAGAGTGTTGATAATTTTTGGCATTTGAACTTTTATATATATACATATTTTTTTCTTTTTGAAATTTTTTTGAAATGGAGTTTTGCTCTTGTCACCCAGGCTGGAGTGCAGTGACGCAATCTCAGCTCACTGCAACCTCCACTTTCTCGGTTCCAGTGATTCTCCTGCCTCAGCCTCCTGAGTATGTGGGATTACAGGCAGCCACCACCATGTCCGGCTAATTTTTTGTATTTTCAGTAGAGACAGGGTTTCACCATGTTGGCCAGGCTGGTCTCGAACTCCTGACCTGAGGTGATCCACCTGCCTTGGCCTCCCAAAGTGGTGGGATTACAGGCATGAGCCACCACACCCGGCCTTTAATGTACATTTTAAAATCAGCTTGACATGATCCATTAGGACCATGTTAACATTTTGTTAAAAATGTAGTGAATCTAGAGAGCAATTCAGGACCAAAAGTAATTTTAGAATTCCGAGACATCTTATCCATGAGCATTGTATATCTACAGTTATTTCAGGTTTTTTGAAGTTCTTTCACTGTATTTTTTCAACATAAAGGTCTTATATATTTTTGTTCAACTTATTTCTTCAGTTATTCTTTGTTATATTCAAACTGTATGTATGTCATTGTTATCTTGTAAACAACAAACATGCTTGTTACTGTAGGATAGAAATGCAACTGATAATTATGACTGATTTTATGTCTAGCAATTATGCTAAATCTTCATATTAATTTTAATAATGTTTTGTCATTAATTACTTTTTTATTTTACTCTTTCTTTTTTAATTATTGTTTATTTTTCTTGATTGGATGCATTGTTGAGTATTAATACAATTTTGAAAAAAGAAGTAATGGTAACATTTATTTTGCATTTCAATAAAAATACTTTTAGTATTTTACATTTGCTATGCAAATAATAATAATGTTATTATTTTGTAGAGAGCTTTTATCATGTGAAGAAAGTTACCTTCAATTTCTGTATCAATCAGGGAAACCTAAGTATAAAACAAAACCACGAATCTCAGAATCTTAACACAATACATTGCTTGCTCATTTCATAGTTTAAGCTGGTTGGAATAAATAACTCTTTACCGTGTATCCACTTATGTACATTCCCTAGGTCTTAGGAGTCTTTTCCTGGATTCTTTATATTTGGCTGACAGACAGCAAGCAAAGAAAGAGGGAAGGTAGGATATCACATAGGAGGTCCTGGGTCCAAGTCTAGAAATGTCATTTGTGGCTTTCATCAGTCAAGATACCACACAGCCATGTGACCTCTTTTGGATAAAATGGGTTTACTCTTTAAGAAACCATTGTTCAGTGGGGTTTAGCATCTGCCTAAAACATAAATGCATAAAACTTTTTCAGAAATGTCATTATAAATAATTCTACAGAGGTGTGCATGTTCATTAGCATACTGTCATTAAAGTGGTGGGATGCACTGGAAAGAACAGTAATTTTGGAATCCAGAAAGCTATGTTCTTATTCTATTTCTCAGGACTTCAGGAAATAACAGTTTGGGATTAGAGAATCTTTAAGTAAATAATACTTAATTCCTTCAATCACTTGTTAAATAAGTGCAAAGCAGGTTCACTACACAGTGGTTACCACTTCAGCCCACTGCAACTCGGGCTGTAATTTCTACGATTTGTATGAGTATACTGGGATAGAATACTCCCACAAGTTGAGTAAAGCAACTTTATTACTTACAGATAGGCAGAAAGGGACAGTAGAAGCCTGAGATTCATAGTGGGTCCATTTCCCAAGGCTCAGGAAAGCTGCCTAGGGCAAATGGACTCTCATCTACGGGTACCCCACCTCATATCATTGCTAAGTGACTACAAAAAACACCTGCCCTGGGTTTTATAACCCCAAGAAACACAAATCAATGGGTTAAAGTTTTGTAGAATATCTTGTCCCAGGAAGGACAAAGGCGGAGACTGGGCTATTCTAACCTGTTTCTCTGTATTTCAGGATGTTGCATTCCCAGAACATTCTACACTTATTCTTGAGAACTGCAAGCGAGAAAGGGAGAACTGAGTTAGTCCAAGGCCACCATTTGAACTGTCCTGCAATTAACATTTTTTTTTTTCCACAATGATGAGTCCTCTATCATATATTTTTATTAGGGTGTTGTATAATATGAAGTGAAGATAAGCTATCACTAAAATCAATTGCTGATAAAAATTTCTTTCACTCTTATTGGGCAAAAGTATACACCTCTTTCATATGCCTCTCTGTTTTGACTTTAAAGCCTTCTAGACATAATACTTCATGAAATAATGCCACACTGATTAACCATTATTCTTTTGAAAAGTAGATCTCCCAGTATTCCTTTTGAAAGGTTTATCATTTTCATTTAATAACAAAATTATGATAAATTCTAAATACAATCATATGTTATTTCAGCATCTTAATTAATTTAAAAGCATCAAAATTTTACAGTAAATAAGCACTTAATTAATTAAGCAGTTCACATGTGCTCAGCACTAATGTGCTTGCTATATATTGAGCAAAAAAGCATAATCATATGACATCATGGCATAATGTTTTCAAAAATATAATTGAATGCTTTATTAGACAATTATTCAGTCATGATTTTGGGTAGGAAATAACTGGAACACACAAACAGGATAATGTGATAAGAACTAGAGACACTTTTTAAAAGTTATGTGCAGGGTTTAAATAATCCAAAAAGGGATAGTGCAGACCCCATAGGGCTAGTAACACTGGGAGATTTTCCTACCTCTATACCTGAAGGGACAAAAGTTATTGGAATATGGAGGGTGTGATGATGTGCAGAGATCACCTAAAGGAACTCTGGTCTTTATATAGAGACACAGCCAATTCTTAGTAATGTAACAGGGAGAGAAGCAGGGCAACCAATTTTGTCATTGATTTTTCAGAAAGTTGTATCTTCTAAAACTCAACTATCTGCAGTGGAATGTTAAATAACTCAAAAATCTTCAAGATTAGGGAGGTCAATGTAAGTTTCAATATAATTATTCTGTTGATGTTCACATTTAAAATAAAATTTCATGGCTTAATCAGAGTCCTGACCTCATTCTCTTCTCATTTTCTCTTCTGCTTTTATGCCGTATAGACCAAACCCTACCTGTGGCTGGAAGGCAAGTGAGCCCATTAATAGCAGCTTGGTCAGCCTCCAGGAAAGCAGGATTGAGAAGGAGGAAAAGTGTATCTGCAAAGAAGTCAAACAGAAGATACCCATCCCAGAAAAGCTGCTCTGAATAATGCTTAACCACACAGCTCTTGAGTAGATGTCTGGGTATGAACTTTAGCTCTTCTACTAACTGGCTATATGACCTTAGGGAAAACATCTAACCTCCCTATGTCTCAGTTACTCTATTCATAAGAGCAGGTAATAGTGTTGGTTATTTTGTGAGCTTCAATAAGAAATAAATGCGGGAACATATATAAAATGCTTAGGACATGTCTATCACATGGTAGACGTTTAAGAAATGTTGGCTATTTTTTTATAATACAGCATTACTAATAAAGCTCTCTGGTTTTCTAATCTGTGAAAGAAGACAAGATCTGCTTCTGCCTACCAGAAGCAGATCTAACAAACTGATACAATTTTTCATTGTTTGCTCATTACCTATTAGGCTCCCACTTCTAATATTACTAAATCTCCCATCTAGTTAATACTTTTATATATAAATTAAAACCTGTTCTAAGGAATGGCTCAGCAAGGCCCATTCATAACAGCTACTGAAAAAAAATTTCTTATGGCATTTGTTCAAACTATTCACTGGTTTAAACCAAGGGGCAGAAAATCTAATTGTTTAACTTTTTAAATTAATAAATCAGAAGTGGAGATTAATTGGGGGAGAAAGCTTTTGATAATGTATTAATTGTGCAGACCAACACATAAAGATAGTTCTATTTATGCCTGCCCCATGCATACACCAGTGCATCCATTTTTTAACTACATAAATGTATATTGAGTACCTACTATATGAGAGATATAAAACTCAGTGCTGATCATTAAAAGATAAAGTGACAAAATTGGTCTACTATTAGCGAAAGTCATATTTACAGAGTAAGAATGTAAAGATGAAGGTAAAACCATCGTAAAGTGTCATGAAAGTCCGTTTGTGCAAATGACAAATATTTTTGCATAAGGTGAGAAATTCTTTAGAAAAGAAATAACATTAGAGCTGGATCTTAAAGGATGACATTTTTAATATTAAGTAATTCCTATGTTATGAATCAGCTAACCTGCCATGAAAAGGCCCTTCTTATTCATGTATTAGATTGAAGCATATTTAGTTGCCATTTTTGCAGATCAAAATTATCGAATATTAGCAATATCATAAAGCTTCAAATCAATGCATAAGTAAAAGTGGTATTATCCCAAAACTTTTATTTCACATTTAGCTATATTTGTTCTCTAATCTAAGAGTCAAATATACATGCTATTGCAGAGATTTTCCTTTTTAAATTTAAGGGGCAAGAGGTACATTTGGAACCAAAGAATTCCAGAGACTAGGAAGTAAAGTGAATTATATACAGGTCTTACTATGTAATAACAATATCTACCTCAGATTAACAGTATGTAAATCACTGGATACAAAATAATTTATTAAGCCTCACCCTGATCTATGAGGTAGGTATTATTTATCCATATTTCAAGAATCAAGAATGATAAAGAGATATGTATCTTTCTCAGGTTTCCATTGAAAGGGGCAGAACTGCATTTTGAACCCAAGCAGTCTGACTCCAGAAATTGTGCTCTTGACTGTTGTATACTTTGGTTCTTCAAAAAGCAAAAATGCAAATGGAAGCAAAAGAAAAGCATATTATGACATATACAGGTTGAATATCCTTTATCTGTAATGTTTGGGACCAGAAGTGTTTAGAATTTCAGTTTTTTTTCTGATTTTAGAATATTTGCATACACATAATGAGATATCTTGGAAATGGGAACAAGGTCTAAACCCAAAATTCATTTAAGTTTCACATAGCCTGAAGGTAATTTTATAAAAATTTTTTTAGTTATTTCGTGCATGAAATGAAGTTCATGTACATTAAACTATCAGAAAGTAAAGGTGTCACTGTCTCAGCCACCTATGTGGACAATCTCTGGTTGTTTGGCATTGTCATCATTCCTGACTCTGAATTTATATCCTAACAATAAGTAATCATTTTCTTACACTTATTCACACAAAAGTGCTTAAAAGTAAACAATATGGCATACCATTAATATAGTGAAAAACTAATGTGTTTAGGGTAACTAAGCAGCACAGTGGCATCACCAGAATACCTCTATCAGCTGTGAAAGAGCAGCAGCAAACAACTGCAAGCACGTAGTCCCCACCTGCAATGCTGTGTTTTGATTAAAATACACTGTATTTTATTTCCTTCGATGAGAAGAAACATCAGAAGCAGTCGGGGGACTAGGAAATGGGTTCTCTAGGGAGAAAGAAGCATTCTGCTGTTGGCTTTAAAATAATATTTCCTCGTTAATGCTGCCTCATTTATGTTTTTGTCTTCGAAGTTTCTCTTTGATTTTATAAACTGACATGAATTCTTGTTCTGTTATCACTGCCCACTGCTTTAGTTCTTCTGTAAGCCCATCACACATTTTTGCCATGTTAGTCTACAGACACATTTCTCTGCACTGTTAATATCATCTTCATTGTTACTATTATCACAATCACCTTGATTCGGAACCATTTTGTCTCTTTCACAATTGGGCAATGTATGCAGGGATTTTCTAGTTTTTAGTAACTTTTGCTTATCACTTTCAGCATAGAACTTCAACAGTTTTTCCTTCTGTTTCTTCAGGTGGTATACGGTCTTCATTCCAACACCATACTCTTCTGGAAGACATTTCACACTGAGACGCTGCTGTCCAGTTTCTCTTAACAGCTTGACTTTCTGTACTATAAACAAAATGTTTCCTCATTTTCTCATCGCTGTTACCCATTGGGATATCTGCAGGCCTTTTTGACATTTTTAACAATATCTTTACATCAAAAAGCAGAGTAAGCAAAAAAAGTACAATGAGTAATGTCTGTTGGTCTTGACCCCTTTGTGGGCCATTGTAAGGAAATTGCCTTGGTGCATCCAGCCTACACGTGTGCCATTTTATTGCCTTTTGTGAGTGTGCTTGCATGAGGGAATCTGGGCATGTGCAGAAAAGATATATCATAGCTGATGGGTGTTAGGAGGGTCTTTTTTTCCCCTTAAGGCACTGAATAAGCTGTGTGTTGTGCACCTGCACTATCTAATCCTTCAATCATTCATTCTATTGACTGCAACCTGTCATATGAAGTCAGGTGTGGAATTTTCCAACTGTGGCTTCATGTCAATGTTCAAAAAGTTTCAGGTTTTTTTTACCATTTCGAGTTTCAGATTATTGGATAAGGGATGTTTAACCTGTTTATATAAATGACAAATTTGAAACCTAGGTTAAAAAACTGTTAGGTGAAAGAAGGTCACTATAATGCTAAAGCTTCTATGAAGCTTAAAATGTAGATATTAAATTCAAATCTTAAAATATTCTAGAAGTAATTCCATCATGGAGGACTCATCCTAGAGATTTATTTGTGGACCTTCATAATTATGTTTATAGCATTACTGGTAATAGAAACAGATTGGAGCAACTCAAATGTCTTTCAGTGTGGTACTTAACTGAGTGCATTTTCTCTACCAATTTTATTTTTATTCTTGAATATCTTTGAGGCTGGGTTGACATTTCTTGCTGATATGTCCTATAACTTGAAAATATGTGTATATGTATTAGTCAGTTCTCATGCTGCTAATAAAGACTTCCCCAAGACTGAGTAATTTATAAAGGAAAGAGTTTTAATTAACTCACAGTTTACCATGGCTGGGGAGGCCTCAGGAAACTTACAAACATGGTGGAAGGGGTAGCAAACATGTCCTTCTTCACATGGTAGCAGCAAGAAGAACTGTCGAGCAGAAGGAGGAAGAGCCCCTTATAAAGCCATCAGATCTCATGAGAACTCACTATCATGAGAACAGCATGAGGGTAACTGCCCCCATGATTAAATTACCTCCCACTGGGCCCCACCCATGACACGTGGAGATTATGAGAACTACAATTCAAGATGAGATTTGGGTGGGGACACAGCGAAACCATATGAGTATGTTCCTAGTTTTATTTCTAACATTGAATGTTGCTGGGTAGAAGTCTAAGGCCAGGTTGGTTGTTCCCACTTTTAAGTGGAAGGGGCTCTTTTTTCTACCTACAAATAGGCAGAATTATTTTTTCTATCTTGATATTCATTAATTTAGCCAGAATATTTCTGAGTTCAGCTTTTTGAAACATTTATTTTTCTGAAGTGCTGTGTTATTTTTCTATCTGTAAATTAATGTCAATTTTTGTATTAGGAATTTTTTGACTAACAAAGTTCAATAATTCCAAAATGTTCTAAAATTCCCTGGATGATCCGATTGCTCACTGCTTACACTTTCAGTTACAATGACCTTCTCTCTCTTTTTCAAATAAGCATGGCCTTTGCAGTAAAGCTCACTTCTTGAGTCCTATCACCTGGCTATCTCCTTCACTCTCAGGCTAAGTAAAATTGTTTTAAAGTTAAGCAACTTTTCTTCAATTTCAGGATGACATTTTACTGACCTCCAAAACCTCAGGATAGATTACATTTCACTATTAATTATTTTTAACAGCATCCTGTCTTTGGCATTTACAGCACATATTTCAATTACAACTATTAAGTACATAAAATTATTTATTTAATTTATTGCTCTACAACTTGTAAGATTATTCCACTACAGATTGTAAGACAGGGAGCATATCTGCTTTATTCATATGGAATCTCTAGCATCTTACCATCTCACAAAGAGTTTTTGTTAAATGGACAAATGGATGCATCGATAGATGAATCCAATAATTTGTTAAATATATTCTTAAAAATCTGTCAAATTTTTAAAGTCTGAAATCCCATTTTGATAGTTTTATCACCTTTTTCACTTACTTTAATTTGGTTACTTAAAGGCCATTAATATCTTCACACTTACCAGTATACCTCCTATACAACCTTTAAAAAATCAGAGAATCCTACCACTGCACCTATAGACCAAATACACTACAAACCTAGTCCTTCTATTCACTTTTGTCCAGCTCCTTACTCTGTGCCAGTTTCCAGCTCATGTGCATTCTGCTGGCCCATTCCACACTTGAGCACCTGAGGATCTGAACACTGACAGCGGCTTGCTTATTCATCTCTCTAACTAGGACTAAGCCTCTCAACCTCCACAATACAAGAAATAATTCAGACACTTGAAGGTAAAATCGTTATCTTCTTGTTCCAGGCTTCTCTCTCATTCAAACAGGTCTATGATCTCCATTTTTCTTTGACTTGGAATATAAATTACTTTCCCTTCCATTGTTACTGTCTTAATGAAAAAGAAGGGCTGACTATAAAAGAAGAAAGCCTAACCCTTTAAATGCCTGGGTGATTTATATCCATACTTTTGGACTCATGTCTAACCTGTTTCTGTATCTGAAATGAAGGTAAACTCACAGCTGGCACACCAAGAAAAATATCAAATTACTTATATCTCTTTCATATTAAAAAGCAGTTGTTTTTGAAAAGCTAGGACAATTTTGGTGAAAATACAAGATTTGGGAATGGTTTTGATGACACTAATAAGATAAAAGATCATATTTTTAATATAAATTTAAATATGAGAAAATGCATGATCTTTAGGTGAATGCTTGTTATGATACAGTTCTCTTCACCAGTTTCTTCCATCTACAAACCACAAGGATGCTGATTTAATAATAATTTTATTTGTATTGTATTGGATGTTACTCAAATCATATCTTATTATCTTTATGTTTATATTAAAACAACAAATAATCATGCCTCCCCCTAGTTATCTTTTAACTTGGTTCTGATGCATGCACATATCAAGGTGATATGGTTTGGCTGTGTCCCCACCCAAAACTCATCTTGAATTGTAGCTCCCATAATTCCCACATGTTGTGGGAGGGACATGGTGGGAGATAAATGAACCATGGGAGCCGTTTCCCACATACTGTTCTGCTGGTAGTGAATAAGTCTCACAAGATCTGATGGTTTTATAAAGGGAAACCCCTTTCACTTGTTTCTCACTTTTCTCTTGTCTGCTGCCATGTAAGATGTGCCTTCTGCCTTTCACCATGATTGTGAGGCCTCCCAGCCATGTGGAATTGTGAGTCCATTAAACCCTTTTTTCTTTATAAATTACCCAGTCTCAGGTATGTCTTAATCAGCAGTGTGAAAACGGACTAATACACATGGCTCTGTGACTTCTTTCTGATTATCATGTTGGCTTTTGTCTCAATGTCTTTAAAACTAAAAAACAGTCCTCATTATATGTATAAAATCATAATGTAGCCTTCAAAATGTCTTTTAGAACCTGTCACAGCTATAATTATATAAACTATAACAATTATCATTACATATAATAATTATAGCATAATTGCCAGTGCAGACTCTAGTTCAAGATGACTGAGTCTATGTTAGGACTGAACCATTTATTACCTGTCTTCCATTAGGCAAGTAACTTCTATAGATTCCTAAAAAATGGTGATAGCAGTACTACTGAACTCACTGTTTTACTGTGAAGATTAATTGAGATTAAATGAGAGAGTTAGTCATAGAGGGTCCTCAATCAGAAATTCTCATTACTTCAATTGAATATTATGGTATACTTGAATTATCCCAATTTACCTCAGGAAAAAATTAAACATATACTCTTTATCAATTCCATCTCACTTCCTTTTTACTTATTCTTGGGACAACAGTGATTCTGCTGAAACAAAAAGGAAAAAAAGAAAAAATCCAACTTAATGGAAGCTTATTTTTAATATTAACCTTTCTTAAAAAATTGATAACAGAAGGGAAGATGTGGAATTTTCATGGCACATCTTCAGAATCACGCTAGGTTTGCTTGATTTAACTTTCATTTTAGATTGCAGACTTGGCATTATTTCACAAGATTATATACTAGTGGAACTTTATATGTAAATTTTCTCTACCAACTTTGTACACTACATATCCAGTTTTGCAGATCACTTAAAATGATCAAGACCCTGAATAAACCTCTTTGCATTCTGATGCTTTCTCTGTAATCCCAAAATATCTTCAATCACGTTGATGAAATACACTTTGAAGATCAATCTGAAGCCACAGATAGCAATCAAATTTTATTTTAAATGTAATCATTAACTTTTTAAAAAAAATTATGTCCATAGGTTTCTGGGGAACAAGTGGCATTTGGTTACATGAGTAAGTTATTTAGAGGTGATTTGTGAGATTTTGGTGCACTCATCACCCGCGCAGTATACACTGAACCCAATTTGTAGTCTTTTATCCCTACTCCCTCCCACCCTTACCCCCAAGTCCCCAAAGTTCATATTATCATTCTTTTTTTAAAAAAAATACTTTAAGTTCTGGGATACATGTGCAGAACATGCAGATTTGTTACATAGGTATACATGTGCAAGGGTATTTCTCCTAATGTTACCCCTCCCCTTGCCTCTCACCCTCCAACAGGCCCTGGTTTTTAATGTTCCCCTCCCTGTCTGTATCCATGTGTTCTCATTGTTCAACTCCCAATTATGAGTGAGAACATGTGGTGTTTGGTTTTTCTGTTCTTGTGTTAAATTGCTGGGAATGATGGTTTCCAGCTTCATCCGTGTCCCTGCAAAGGACATGAACTCATTCTTTTTTATGGCTGCATAGTATTCCATGGTGTATATGTGTCACATTTTCTCTATTTAGTCTATCATTGGTGGGCATTTGGGTTGGTTCAAAGTCTTTGCTATTGTGAGTAGTGCTGCAATAAACATATATGTTTGTTATTACTTTCTAAAGCCTACTTCTGTCAATTCGTCAAACTCATTTTCTGTCCAGTTTTGTTCCCTTGCTGGCGAGGAGTTGTGATCCTTTGGAGGAGAAGAGGCATTCTGGGTTTTGGAATTTTCAGCATTTTTGCACTGTTTTTTCCTCGTCTTCATGGATTTATCTACCTTTGATCTTTGATGTTGGTGACCTTTGGATGGGGTTTTTGCACGGGCATCCTTTTTGTTGATGTTGATGTTATTGCTTTCTGTTAGTTAGTTTTCCTTCTAACAGTCAGGCCCCTCTTCTACAGGTCTGCTGGAGTTTGCTGGGGGTCCACTCCAGACCCTGTTTGCCTGTATATCACCAGCAGAGGCTGCAGAACAGCAGAGATTGCTGCCTGCTCCTTCCTCTGGAAGCTTCGTCCCAGAGGGGCACCCACCAGATGCCAGCTGAAGCCCTCCTATATAAGGTGTCTGTAGGCATGGGGGTCAGGGACCCACCTGAGGAGGCAGTCTGTCCCTTAGCAGAGCTCAAGCACTGTGCTGGGAGATCCACTGCTCTCTTCAGAGCTGGTAGGCTGGAAAGTTTAAGTCTGCTTAAGCTGTGCCCACAGCTGCCCCTTCCCCCAGGTGCTCTGTCCCAGGGAGATGGGAGTTTTATCTATAAGCCCCTGACCGGGGCTGCTGCCTTTCTTTCATAGATGCCCTGCCCAGAGAGGAGGAATCTAGAGAGGCAGTCTGGCTAGAGTGGCTTTGCTGTGCTGCAATGGGTTCCACCCAGTTTGAACTTCCCGGAGGCTTTGCATACACTGTGAGGGGAAAACCACCTATTCAAGCCTCAGTAATGGTGGACACCCCTCCCTCTACCAAGCTTGAGCCTCCCAAGTCAACTTCAGACTGCTGTGCTGGCAGCGAGAATTTCAAGCCAGTGGATCTTAGCTTGCTGGGCTCTGTGGGCATGGGATCCACTGAGCAAGACCACTTGACTCCTTGGCTTCAACCCCCTTGCCAGGGGAGTGAATGGTTCTGTCTTGCTGGCATTCCAGGTGCCACTAGAGTACAAAAAAAATCTCCTGCAGCTAGCTCGGTGTCTGCCTAAATGGCTGCCCAGTTTTGTGCTTGAAACCCGGGGCCCTAGTGATGTAGGCACTCAAGGGAATCTCCTGCTCTGCAGGTTGTGAAGACTGTGGGAAAAGCGTAGTATCTGGGCCAGGTAGCACCATCCCTCAGGGCACAGTCCCTCACAGCTTCTCTTGGCTACAGGAGGGTTACCTGACCCCTTGCACTACCCATGTGAGGTGACACCCCACCCTGCTTCTGCTCGCCTTCTATGGGCTGCACCCACTGTCTAACCAGTCCTAATGAGATGAACTGGGTAACTCAGTTGGAAATGGAGAAATCATCCACCTTCTGTGTTGGTCTCGCTGGGAGCTGAAGACCAGAGCTGTTCCTATTCAGCCATCTTGCCAGCCGTCTCCATTGTATTATTCTTATGACTTTGCATCCTCATAGCTTAGCTCCCACTTATGAGTGAGAACATATGATGTTTGGTTTTCCATTCCTGAATTACTTAACTTAGAATAATAGTCTCCAGTTCCATCCAGGTTGCTGTGAATGCCATTACCATTAATTAATTCCTTTTAATAGCTGAGTAGTATTCCATCATAAATATGTATATTATATATATATATAATATATATCTCAATTCCATCATAAATATCTTTGCTGTTCTGCAGCCTCCGCTGGTGATATCCAGGCAAACAGGGTCTGGAGTGAACCTCCAGTCATTATATGAAAAAGATACTTGCACATGCATATTTATAGCAGCACAATTCAAAATTGCAAAAATGTGGAACCAGCCCAAATGCCCATCAATCAACGAGTGGGTAAAGAAATATATATATACACACATATATATTAGTGTGCAAGTATCTTTTTCATATAATGACTTCTTTTCCTCTGGGTAGATACCCAGTAATGGGATTGCTGGATCAAATGGTAGTTCTACCTTTAGTTCTTTAAGGACTTTCCATATTGTTTTCCATAGTGGTTGTACTAGTTTACATTCCCGCTAGCAGTGTAGAAGTGTTCCCTTTTCACTGCATCCATGGTAACATCTACTTTTTTTTTTTTTGACTATGGCCATTCTTGCAGGAGTAAACCTAAAATTCATATAGAAGCCAAAAAGAGCCCATATAGCCAAAGACAGACTAAGCAAAAGAACAAATCTGGAGGCATCACATTACCTGACTTTAAACTATACTATAAGCTCATAGTTACCAATACTGCATGGTGCTATTATAAAAACAGGCACATAGAACAATGGAATAGAATAAAGAACCCAGAAATAAACCTGACTACTTACAGCCAACTGATCTTCAACATAGCAATCAAAAACATAAAGTGGGGAAAGGACACCCTATTCAACAAATGGTACTGGGATAACTGGCAAGCCACGTGCTGGAGATTGAAACTGGATTCTCACCTCTCACCTTATACAAAAATCAACTCAAGATGGATCAAGGACTTCAACCTAAGACCTGAAACTATAAAAATTCTAGAAGATAACATCGAAAACACTCTTCTAGACCTTGACTTAGGCAAAGACTTCATCACCATGAATCCACAACCAAATGCAACAGAAACAGAGATAAATAGGTGGGACTTAGTTAAACTAAAGAGCTTCTGCACAGCAAAAGGAACAGTCATCAGAGTAAACAGACAACCCACAGACTTGGAGAAAATCTTCACAATCTATACATCCAACAAATGACTAATATCCAGAATCTACAAGGAACTCAAACAAATTAGCAAGAAAAAACAAACAACCTCACCTAAAAGTGGGCTAATGACATGAATAGATGATTCTCAATAGAAGATTTACAAATGGTCAGCAAACATATGAAACAATGCTCAACACCACTAAAGATCAGGGAAATGCAAATGAAAACCACAATGCAATACCACCTTACTCCTGCAAGCATTAACTTTTTAAAAGTAACATTGAAACCACTGCTTTTGGTGTTTTAGACATGAAGTCCTTGCCCATGCCTATGTCCTGAATGGTAATGCCTAGGTTTTCTTCTAGGGTTTTATGGTTTTAGGTCTAATGTTTAAGTCTTTAATCCATCTTGAATTAATTATTGTATAAGGTGTAAGGAAGGGATCCAGTTCCAGCTTTCTACATATGGCTAGCCAGTTTTCCCAGCACCATTTATTAAAGAGGGAATCCTTTCCCCATTGCTTGTTTTTGTCAGGTTTGTCAAAGATCAGATAGTTGTAGATATGCGGCATTATTTCTGAGGGCTCTGTTCTGTTCCATTGATCTATAGCTCTGTTTTGGTACCAGTACCATGCTGTTTTGGTTACTGTAGCCTTGTAGTATAGCTTGAAGTCAGGTAGCGTGATGCCTCCAGCTTTGTTCTTTTGGCTTAGGATTGACTTGGTGATGCGGGCTCTTTTTTGGTTCCATATGAACTTGAAAGTAGTTTTTTCCAATTCTGTGAAGAAAGTCATTGGTAGCTTGATGGGGATGGCATTGAATCTATAAATTACCTTGGGCAGTATGGCCATTTTTGCGATATTGATTCTTCCTACCCATGAGCATGGAATGTTCTTCCATTTGTTTGTGTCCTCTTTTATTTCATTGAGCAGTGGTTTGAAGTTCTCCTTGAAGAGGTCCTTCACGTCCCTTGTAAGTTGGATTCCTAAGTATTTTATTCTCTTTGAAGCAATTGTGAATGGGAGTTCACTCATGATTTGGCTCTCTGTTTGTCTGTTATTGGTGAATAAGAATGCTTGTGATTTTTGCACATTGATTTTGTATCCTGAGACTTTGCTAAAGTTGCCTATCAGCTTAAGGAGATTTTGGGCTGAGACAATGGGGTTTTCTAGATATACAATCATGTCATCTGCAAACAGGAACAATTTGACTTCCTCTTTTCCTAATTGAATACCCTTTATTTCCTTCTCCTGCCTAATTGCCCTGGCCAGAACTTCCAACACTATGTTGAATAGGAGTGGTAAGAGAGGGCATCCCTGTCTTGTGCCAGTTTTCAAAGGGAATGCTTCCAGTTTTTGCCCATTCAGTATGCAATGGCAACAAAAGCCAAAATTGACAAATGGGATCTAATTAAACTAAAGAGCTTCTGCACAGCCAAAGAAACTACCAGCAGAGTGAACAGGCAACCTAAAGAATGGGAGAAAATTTTCGCAACCTACTCATCTGACAAAGGGCTAATATCCAGAATCTACAATGAACTGAAACAAATTTACAAGAAAAAAACAAACAACCCCATCAAAAAGTGGGCAAAGGATATGAACAGACACTTCTCAAAAGAAGACATTTATGCAGCCAAAAGACACATGAAAAAATGCTCATCATCACTGGCCATCAGAGAAATGCAAATCAAAACCACAATGAGATACCATCTCACACCAGTTAGAATGGCAATCATTAAAAAGTCAGGAAACACAGGTGCTGGAGAGGATGTGGAGAAATAGGAACACTTTTACACTGTTGCTGGGACTGTAAACTAGTTCAACCATTGTGGAAGTCAGTGTGGCGATTCCTCAGGGATCTAGAACTAGAAATTCCATTTAATCCAGCCATCCCATTACTGGGTATATACCCAAAGGACTATAAATCATGCTGCTATAAAGACACATGCACATGTATGTTTACTGCGGCACTATTCACAATAGCAAAGACTTGGAACCAACCCAAATGTCCAACAATGATAGACTGGATTAAGAAAATGTGGCACATATACACCATGGAATACTATGCAGCCATAAGAAATGATGAGTTCATGTCCTTTGTAGGGACATGGATGAAATTGGAAATCATCATTCTCAGTAAACTATCACAAGGACAAAAAAACCAAACACTGCATGTTCTCACTCATAGATGGGAATTGAACAATGAGAACACATGGACACAGGAAGGGGAACATCACGCTCTGGGGACTGTTGTGGGGTGCGGGGAGGGGGGAGGGATAGCATTAGGAGATATACCTAATGCTAAATGACGAGTTAATGGGTACAGCACACCAGCATGGCACATTTATACATATGTAACTAACCTGCACATTGTGCACATGTACCCTAAAACTTAAAGTATAATAATAATAAAATACAAAATAAAAAAATAAAAAAATAAAAAAAACATTGAAACCTAGAGTGACCTCCCTAATCTTGTCAATTTTTTGCAGTGTTTAAAGCGTCACTGAAGATAGCTGAATTTTAAAAGGTATATTTTTCTGAAAATCTGATTACGAAAACTAAATTCTATCAAAATTTATCCTCAGGGAGAACCTATGCCATAGATCGTGTATGAGAAACAGAACAAAACGAAAGCTAAAGGTAGAGACACAGCAAGAGCAAGCAAATCTTAGACTGCATTAAAGAAAATCATAAGGTGAAGAAACATTTTGATGCATTAAGCCTATAGAGCCACCCATGTGCAGCCATACCTTCTACTCTTATAGCTCAGAGTATATTAGCCCAAATAGTCCTTCTATTGTCAAGGTCATCTCTCCAGAAGAATTTGATGGATCAAGAGCTGTGAGCAGCATTTCCTTCTTCTTTAGGGCTAATTAGTATATCTGTGTGTGTGTGTGTGTGTGTGTGTGTGTGTGTGTGTGTGTGTATCAAATTTTATCTATCTATTCACCTGACGATGGACCTTAGGTAAGTTGCATATCTTGGCCATTGTGAATACTGCCACAATGAACATGGAAATGCAGATATTTCTTCAATATATTGATTTCAGTTCTTTTAAATATATACCCAGTAGTGGGATTGACGGATCATCTGGGAGTTCTATTCTTGTTTTTTTAAGGAAGCTCTATACTGTTTATCATGATGGCCATACTAATTTATCTGCCTACCAACAAAGTACAGGAGTTTTCTTTTCTCCTTATCCTCGCCTGCACTTATCTTTAATTTTTTTGATGAAAGTCATTATAACAGATGTGAAGTGATATATCATTGTAGTTTTAATTTGCATTTCTCTAATGATTAGTAATGCTGAGCATTTTTTCATATACCTGTTGGCCATTTGTATGTCCTCTTTTGAGAAATGTCTCTTTAACTCCTTTGCCCATTTTTTAAATCAGATTATTTGTTTTCCTGCTATTGAATTGTTTAACTTCCTTATATACTTTGGATATTAATCCTTTATAAGACATATAATTTGCAAATATTTTCTCTCATTCTGTGAGTTGTCGCTTCACTTTGTTTATTATTTATTTTGCTTTCTCATTGTGTGTTTTTGGTAACTTTGTCAAAATTTAATTAAATATGAACGTCTGGATTGATATTTGGACTTTCTATCCCATTGCACAGGTTGAAATGTCTGTTTTTATGACAGTACTATGTTGTTTTGATTACAATCGCTTTATAATATGTTTTGAAATCAGAAAGTGTGATGTCTTCAGCTTTGTCTTCTTTGCTTGTTTGTTTGTTTGTCTGTTTGTTTGTTTTTCAGGGAGAATTTTTTTTTCAAGATTGTTTTGACTATTCAAGGTCTTTTGTAATTCCACACAAATTTTAAGATTTTTTTTTCTAGTTCTGTGAAAAATTACATTGGTATTTTGATAAGGATGACATTGAATCTGTAGATGATTAGGGGTAGTACTGACAAAATTTATACCCACATATGTTTTGGGTATACATTTAAAGGAACTGAAATCAATATGTTGAAGACATATGAATAATTAATTACAATATTAATTTTTAATGTCCATGAACATGAGGTATATTTTCATTTATTTTTGTTTCTTTCAATTTCTTTCAGCAGTGTTTTATAGTTTTAAGTATACATGTCTTTTAACCAAAAGTTATTCCTAGGTATTTTTTGTTGCAGTTGATATTTTAAATGGTATTGTTTTCTTAATTTTCTTTTGGGATAATTCATTATTAGTATATAGAAATGCTACTGATATTTATGTGCCGACTGTATCCTGCAACTTTAATGAATTCTTTTATCAATTCTAACAATTTTTTGGTAAAGTCTTTAGAGTTTTCTATATGTAAGATTATGTCATCAGCAATGTATTAATTTGAAAGACATTATGCTAAGTCAAATAATCCAGGCACTGAAAGACAAATAGTCCATGATATCACTTATACATGGAATCAAAAAAGTGGAACTACAGAAGTAGGAAATAGAATGATAGTTACTGGGGTCTAGGGGTGTTGAGAAGGGAGTTCTGGGGAGTTTTTGATCAAAGGGAACATCGTTTTAGATAGACAGGATGAATAGGTTTTGAAATCTATTGGACAGCAGGGTGACTATAGACAATAATATATGTATGGTATATTTCAAAATAAAAGATGAAATCTCAAATCTTACCACAAAAATTGTAGGAAAGTAAGGTGATGAATATGTTAATTAGCTTGGTTTCATAATTCCACATTGTATACATACATTAAAACACCATACTGTACTCCATATATGTATAAAACTATGATTTATTAATCAAAATGATATTAAATAATACCAACTTAAATTTTTAGATAAAATAAATTATAAAATAAAACAATGTACAGTAGGTAAAACAGCAGGAGACCATAGCATCTCCCAAGAGTAGGCTGGAATGTACTTTGTCATTTATCAATTTTTCCCCATAATGATACTGTTTAAAATAAAACAGCTCAATACCCACCTTAAGTCATCATAACCCAACATAAGTGTGTTCTCATAATATATGTTGGAATCAGCCCAGAATTTAGAGTCAGACAAATCTGGGTTTAACTCCTTCCTACAATTTCTGAGACATTTTAAAAAATTGCCTATGCACATTTGAGAAAGTTACTTAGGCTTTATTAGACTCATTTCTTCACTGTAAAATTGAAATGAGCTTCATGCAGTTGATGCAAAAATGTAATTGAGATCATAACTCATAGGAATTGTACACTTCTTCTATTATGAAGCACATTCAGACAACAGACTGATGAAGTCCATCAATGGAAGTCCATAAATGGGCATAGGCATCTGCACTCAGGGTTATTTTAGGGTGCTGTATAATATTTGTGAAATATTTGAAATATTGCATTATGGAAAATAGAATATATGAGAAAGAGTTATTACAAAATCAAAGTTTACCATCCATATTGATTTGAACATTATCCCAGTAATCACAAGATCAATAAATTGATCTCAAGTTAGACTAGTTAGATATTTTATGTTTCATGTTACAAATGTCACCTTGTCTAATTATGGCTGGAGTCTTGAAGAGACGTTAGGGTTTGATCAGTTTAAACTTCTTGAAAAGAAATATTCCACAGTTGTGTCTTGCCATGGTGAAAATAGAAAGCAAAGCACTATATTCCTTTTTTCACATATGATGAAGTGATGCTTTCCAGAAAGATACTTTAAACCAATTGAAAAAAAGATAGAATTCTTCATGGGAACATATGAAAGTACAGATCTGTTTAAAAAATTATTTTAAAAATAAATCAGATCTCATCAAAAGTGTTTTAAAACTTACATAGTCACTGAAAGTTCCCCCTTCATCCTATATGCTCTTTCTTTAGAAATAACCACCATTCCGAAGTTGATGTATATCATTGGAGTTTTGCTTTTATTGCATATGTATCTTCCTTAATTTTCTATTGCTATAACATAATACCTGAGACTAAGTAATTTATAAAGCAAATAAGTTTATTTGGCTCATGATTCTGGAGGATGGGAAGTGCAAAATCAGGTGGCTCTATCTGGGCGGCTTCCAGCAAGGGACTGGTGCTGCATCATAACATGGCAGAGAAGCAGAAGGGGAAGAGGGCTTGGGCAAAGAGACCAACCATGAGAAGCAGCCTTGCTTTATAACCACCTGATTTCTAGAGAAATAATTCAGTCTTTTGAGGACTAACTCAGTCTCTCAAGAAAGATATTAATGCATCTTAATGACTAATCACTTCTTAAAGGCACCAACTTTCAACACTGCCACATTGAGGACCAAACCCCCATATAAGATTTGGTGGTTACAAACCATATTCAAACTATAGCAATATATATGAGTAATATTATTTAGTGTTGGATACAAAATTATTCTGTTTCTTTTTGCAACTTTTTCACTAATCATTATATTGCTGAGGTTTTTAAAAAATTAACTCTGTATAACATGATATTGTATGACAAAAATTCCAGCTTATTTACATATTTTCCTATTTTTCACAATTACAAACAGACTTGCAATGAACATCCTGGTACACAAGTTAGTGTGTCCCTTTAGCACATACCAGACTTTTTCATCTATGTTCTGTTGCTTAAAACAGAATAGCTGGATTTGGTAATATGTAAAGATAGGAATTTATTTATTGTAATTATGGTTGCTGAGAAGTCCAAATTCCGGGGACCACATCTGGTGAGAGCTTTCTTGTTGGTGGGGACTCAGCACATTTCTGAGACAACATGTGGCATCACAAGGTGAGGGGGCTGAGCGTGGTAGTGTGCTAGTTCAGAACTCTTACTCTTAAAAAGTCACCAGTTCCCCTCTCCCAAAACTCAGTAATCCTTTAATGCATTAATCCTAATCCATGAATAGATTAATTCATCCATGAGGGCCCTGCCCTCATGATCCAATCACATTTAAAGGCCTACCCCTCAATACTACTACATTGGGAATGAAACTTCAACATGAATTTTAAAGGGGACAGATAACTAAATAGTAGCACAGACTAACTCTTGAACAACAAACAAGATAAGGAATTTCTGGGTATTGTGTATGCCCATCTTCAACTTTACTGGCACCTGCAAAAATCCCTCTCCAAAATGGTTATATCAATGTATACACTCATTCCAAATAGATTAGCCCCCTGTTATTCCATATTCTCCCCAATGACTGGTAACAGAAGACTTTATTTTCCACATTTTGATGTGCAGGAAGTGCTATAGCAGTGTTATTTTATTCATATCAGTAAGAATATATATGTATATCATAAAATTTACCATTTTGACCCTTTTTCTTTATATAGAATAATTTAGTTGCATTAAGTATATTCACAACGTCGTGCAACCATAATTACTATCCATATTCAGAACACTTTAGCTTCCCAAAATAAAACTCTATAATCATTAAACAATATCTCTCCATTCCCCTCTTCCCTCCAGCTATTACTTCCTGTCTCTGTGAATCTGTCTACTCTAGATCCTCATATAAGTGTAATAATACAGTACAATAATACTTGTTCTTTTGTATCTAGCCTTATTTCACTTAGCACAATGTTTCCAAAGTTCATCCACATGGTGACATATGTCAGGATTTTATTTCTTTTTAAGATTGAATACAGTTGACTCCTGAACAACACAGATTTTAACTGCATGAATCCACTTACATTCAAAATTTCTTCTGCCCCTGCCATCCCTGAGACAAGAAGACCAATCTCATCTTCTTCTTCTTCCTCCTATGATTTTCTTAATAATATTTTTAAGCATACTTTATCGTAAGATTACAGTATATAATATATATTACATACAAAATATATGCTAAATGACTTTATGTTATTGGTAAGGCTTCTGGTCAACAGTAGTCTATTAGTAGTTACGTTTTGAGGAAGCAAAAAGCTATGCTCAGATTTTCAACTGTGCAGAAGAATAGGACCTCCAAACCCCTGTGTTGTTCATGGGTCAACTGTACATTCTATTACATGTATATATCACATTTTGTGTATCCGTTTGTCAGACAATGGACATTTGGGTTGTTTCCATTTTGGGCAATGTTGCTATGAACATTGACATTAAATATCTGTTTGAATCTCTGGTTGCACTTCTTCTTTTGGTTATATACAGAGAAGTGGAATTGCTGGATCATAGTCATGCCATGTTTAATTACTTTAGGAACTGCCATACGGTTTCTGAAAGTGGCTGTACAATTTTATACTTCCACCAACAATGCACAAGGGTTGCAATTTCTCCACATCCTCATCAATACTTGCTATTTGGTTTTTGTCTTATAACAGCCATCCTAATGTGTGCAAAGTGGTATCTTATTATGGTTTTGATTTGCATTTCCCTAATAATTAGTGATGTTGAGCATGTTTCCATATTCTTCTTGATCATCTGTATATCTTCTTTGAAGAAATATCTGTTCAAATTATTTGACTACTTTTATATTAGGTTTTGTTGTTGTTGTATTAAAGTAAAGGTTGTTTTAATGTATTTACTGGCTGAGGTTGAAAAGTCTTTCTATGTATTCATTAGACATTCAGGTGTTTTCTACTATTAATTTTTTGCTTATACTTTTAGACAACTTTTCAATTGGATTTTTCATCTACTCATCTGTGCATTTCATATATTATAAATTTAAATTTACAGGTCTTTTTCCAATCCATGGATTAATTTTTTATTCCTTATTACATTCCTGTCCTACAGAAATTTTGAATTTTAATGTAATCAAGTTTATCGATATATTTTGTACAGTTAGTGTTTTAGACATCTCATATAACAAATCCTTCCATAATCTAGTATCATACTGATGATTTCCTATTTATTTCTAAAAAACTTACAACTTTCAAATTAAGTATCTAATTATTTACAATTTTTTCATACAATTTATGAATTATATTTCCAATTATATTTGTTTCCATATGAACAAAATATCTTTTTTCAAAACAGCATTTACTTCCAGCATTTTTTTGTAAATATGTTTATAGAATTTTAAATTTGCTTTGTACAGTTTTGTATACTAAACTACTAAATACATATGAGTCTATTCTTTATCTATTTAATTCCATTGTTTAATTGCTAATCAATGTGCAATTATAATACCAATAAAATGACTATTGTTTTTTGGTAAGTCTTGATACTTAACATGGTAAATCATTAATCATTATATTTTTTCAATATTGCTTTGATATTTCATGGCCTTTGCCCTACCACATACATTTTGGAGACTGCATTTCAATTTCTTTTAAAAATCTTATTGAATTTTTGTTATTATTACATTGAACTTACAAATTATTTTGAGAGAGAACAGCCATTTTCTATCATCAAACCATCCTACCTTTAGACATATTACATCCCTATTTAGCTAGATTTTCTTTTTAATTTTTAGGCCTTTTTTATTTTTTAGGACTAAGTTTCACTGGGATATATGAAAAGTAGTACTATTAGACTGTCAAGAAATGAATGACTCCAATAAAAGATACAATGAAAGGTGGTTAATTATATAGAAACAAATAAAATTAGAATTTTGCCTCCCGAAAGATGTACACAGTTTTACGAAAATTATTTCTAGATAGGCTGGGTGTGGTGGCTCATGCCTGTAATCCCAGCACTTTGGGAGGCCGAGGCCGGCTGATCACAAGGTCAAGAGATTGAGACCATCCTGGCCAACATGGCGAAACCCCATCTCTACTAAAAAATACAAAAATTAGCTGGGCATGGTGGCACCTGTAGTCCCAGTTACTTGGGAGGCTGAGGCAGGAGAATCGCTTGAACCTGGGAAGTGGAGGGTTCAGTGAGCCGAGATTGTGCCATTGCACTCCAGCCTAGTGACAGAGTGAGACTCCATATCAAAAAAAAAAACAAAAAAAAACCTAGACAGTATGTTTGCTATTATTAATTTTTTCTTTTAAAAAACTTTATATTCTAACAAGGTAGTCCTAATTTAAGAAATACAATTTATTGCTAAGTATGGGTCTTTTGTCCTTCAAACTTTTTGAATTTCTTAATTAGGTAGTAAAGTGTGGCAGTATAACTTCTTCAATTATTTACCTAAGAGTTTTTCTTTTTTAGTTTTTCTTATTTTATCTATTTCTCTTGATTTATTTCACTATCCCCAGGGAAATGTTAATCAAAGTGACATTATTAAGAATTTTTTGTTACAAAATGAAATGAATTGTTTCTAGCATTTCATTGATTATGATATTGAATGAGATATAGATAACACAGAGACGGAGAGAGGGCAGGAAGAGAGAATCACTGCAATAAAATTGATCATCTGATTATTTTCTTTTAATGTGAAGATTTATACTAATAAATTTTCTGTTGCTTACAAGTTAGCTTAGTCTTACTAAAATTTTTTTAAATATTCCAGAATTTTTTGTAAATAAGTATGTAGAATTTTGAATTATATCCAGATGATATTACTCTGTAATTTTCTTTTTATGGTTTGATCACTTGTAGTTTCAAAGTCATATTACACTCAGTAAATGAATTGTAAATCTATGGCTTTATCTATTAGCTAGAGAGTTTGCAAAAGTTAACACTATCATATTAGTTAGTTCTCACATTGCTATAGAGAACTGCATGAAACTGGGTAATTTATTTAAAAAGAGGTTTAATTGGCTCATGGTTCTTCAGGATGTACCAGAAGCATGGCTGAGGAGGCCTCAGGAAACTTACAATCATGGTTGAAGTCAAAGGGAAATCTGGCACGTCCTACATGGCTGGAGCAGGAGGAAGAGAGAGAATGAAGAGGAAGGTGCTACATACTTTCAAACAACCAGATCTTGTGAGAACTCTCTCAGGAGGCAGCACTAAGGGGATGGTGCTAAACCTTCAGAAATCATCCCCATGATTCAATTACCTCTACCAGGCCCCACCTCCAACACTGGGGATCACAATTCAACATGAGATTTGGTTGTAGTGGGACCAGAATTACTTACCTAACATTCCCTCCGTCCTCCGGCTTATTTTTCCCCCATCCTGCTGGGGGTTAAAAGGTTGAGCCTTGTGTTTGTCAGACACTGGTGTCCCTCCTGTGAGGATGCAGCCAGGAGCTGAGGTGTAAACCTACAAACCCAGGACTCCCGACCCCAGTTGCCACTGCCAGCCTCAGAGAAAGGCATCCAGGTATGCAGGGGAGTGTGCAGAGCCCAGCGGCCCCTAGGAATCAAGGATAAGGCTAAGGTTTTCACCTTGACTGTGATGGCAGGAGGAATAGGTGACTGCCTCCTCCCTCCCTACACAGGACTGATTCTCACTCACTGTCCCTTCAGTCCAGGGCACCGGGGATCAGGAGCCCTGACCTGGGGTCTCCTGACCACCCTGATCCCAAGTAAATGGGAATGGAGGCAGGCAAGAGAGCCTGTCCTCCTCTTTGATTTCCCCGAACCCCACCCATGGCCTCACGATGGTGCTACCTAAGAAAGTCTTCCCCCCATTCCCCGCTAGTGTGGTCAGTGGTCAGCAAATCAGAAAGGATCCAACAGGGGTGTAAATGTGAGATTGTCTTGATTGTACCTGTTTGTGATTTAGCTTTGTATTTAAACAAACAAGGAAATAAACTTGAAAATTATTTATCAACATAAAAATGAAACAAAAATTAAAATATTTATTGCCAGAAAAAAAAAAAGAGATTTGTATGGGGACACAGAGCCAAACCATAACAATTCCTATCTTTCTTGATTGAAGCTTAACTATAAAAACAACAGGGTTTCAAATTTTGGTTGGAGAAATGTTTAACAACTTATCATTGTCCATTTTTAAATTTTTGAGACAGTATTTTCAATTAACCTTTCAGACAACTAACCTTTTCAACTAAGCTTTCAAACAATGACACAGAATTGTTTATTATGCTCACTTGTAATATTTAGTCTTACTTTACATGTTTTATTTCCCTTTTTATTGTTTATGTTAATTCTGACTTTTCTTTTTTCTTTACTAATATTGAATTCAATTTGTTTATCTTTTATCAATTTGTTGTCTTTTAAAGAACCAACTTTTGAATTTGACGTTTTTATCTATTTGATGATCCTTTTCGGTTATATTTATTTCTATCATTATCTTTGTTATTTTTGATGCTCTTGTTTCAGGGTTACCCACAGTTTGCTTTTCCTAACTCTTTGACACTTTTTGTTAAAGAAACCCAAATGCTAAGAAAAAAAAAAAAGACTACTTTATCTATCCTCATTATAAAACAAGATGTAACCTCCCACAGTTAGCAAATACACAACAAAGCATTTTTTTCCTCATGTCATTGCCAATGCACAGAAACTCATTTGGAGTTTTTTAGCTCATGAGGTTAAATGTAGTGTGCATTTTCTCATTTGGAGTTTTGTGACGTGTGAGATTAAATGTACTGTACTGGGTAGTTTATTAGCCAAGTCCTCATCACATTTTACAAACTTAATATAAAGTTTTTAAAAATTATTTTTTTAGTGCTTTCATTAGTGCAGAAACTATAGTTCTGTATTTTTGCACAATCATAGTCTTTACTAGCTATTGTAGTTATTCTGTATACCTACAAATTCAAAAAAATATTTGGAGTATGGGATTGGAAGTTGGTATGATTTTTTAAAAGTTACCGAGGAAGTTTCATTTGAATATAAATAAAAATATGCAATCAAGTTTCCAAATAATTGCACATCAGTATTTTAAAAATAACAAAGAGATCAAAAATGATTTATGTAAAAAAGAATATGAGAAAACAAAATGTTTAAACTCTATGTATTTTAGTGTTTTTTTTATAGAGGTGTCAGCTTAAAGCCTTTCCAAAATCACATGGTAGGAAAAGCAAAATGAAACAAATTCCTTGTTTATCTTTGTTTAACTCAATGTTTTCCAAATATATTTGCCTATAGAACAAATTTTCTGAAACTATCTCAAAAATGTGTCAGGTAAAACACAGATGCTGCATGGAGCATAGTTTAGAAAACACTGATTTAAATCACTGATCAAGCTTCTTCCTTGCCCTCACTGCTTCTGTCATCTCTAAGAAGACCAAATAAATAATGTCCTTCATTCCCACTGAATATCTGACTAAATTAAGAAATAAGACCAATAGGTATGCAAACTGAATGCGAGAATTAATCAGACGTATCTACCAAATTACAATAATGCTGGAATAAGGCGGGCATCCCTGACATATCAATAGAACTTGTCCTGGAAAGAAACGGAGACCTGCTGTCTGTGAGCAGATAGAATCCAAAAGAGGATAGAAGGCTGACATTGAGCCAAACACACTCAGTTATTCTTCCCAAATATAACATTCAGATAAATCACTCCACCTGCCAGGAAATGGGTTGAACAAATGTGTGGGGAGAGACCGTGTGTTATACAAATGGGGCTACTTAAACAAGGAAGAAAATGTTAGAACTAGGGAAGACATTTACAATAGTCCCAGCTTTTAATTTCCTTAACCCATTGGGCCTAATCATTACTCCTGTGTCATCCTGGAGTGTATTTCGGCCTCTCAAGAGAAGGAGCCCATGTTACATCACCCATGGGACAGTGCTTCTTTCTATCCTCCAAGATTTAATACCCGATGGACATCTTAAATGTCACAATTATAAAAGCCCAGGTGATAGACAGACTAAATACCCTGTTTGATCATTACACGTTGCATCTATGTATCAAAATATCACAGGTACCCCATAAATATGTACAAATACTTATTTTTAATTTTAAAAAGACAAAAACAGGCCTATGGTCAGTCTTAAAAGGCTGCCAAGATCCCAGTTTGCTGCCCACTTAAGGAAGCTCAAAGTCACACACAACAAAACCTCTCCACATGCTGAGTCTGCAAATCCACTTTCTCTTTTATTCTTCTGTTTTCTCAGAAAATATACCAAATGTTTCAGGCTTTGAGAAGCAAAATAAATACTTTCTGTTTTACTTTTTCAATTACTGAACCACAAGAGAAGAAGAAAAAGTACTAAAGGATAAATGTTAAAATGTCAACGTTATTGCTGATAAAGTCTAATTTTGGGGACTGAGCTTCATATGAGATTGAAATGGGCCTTGTGCCTAAGCCCAGAAATGGACAATCTTATGTCTCCAGTCACAGCCAGGTTGGCCCTATGCAGGAGGCCAGACCCTAGAGAAGCATGAGAGAAATTTCACTTTCTGAAGGTAGACTGATTTCCCAAGAGGAAAGAAGGACAGTGCCAAGCCTGTACGCACAGATTATGCCTCCCAAATTCACCGATTTTGTCATTCTTTCCCAGGCCCCAGGGCCAGAGTGAGTTGGACGAATAGTGTGGAAGGTGTGCGACGCTAATGTGACTTCTTTCTATTGGGAAAAAAACATATCAGAAGAGTGAGAAATGTGTTTCTTCTAACAGTTGCTAAATTGTAATGTCAGGATGGCATTATCAGAAAATGTCATAAAAATCATTCAGTCGTATGGCCCTGTTGGCCACTATGCTATCTATCTTGACATAGCTAGTAATTTTTATTGGTTAGTAATTCTGAGACAAGGTCCAAATAATATGTTTTTGATTATGAGGACAATACTGTTTTTAAAGTTTTAATCCATTATGTGTCAAGTATGGACCTTTACAAAAAGGACACCATAAGTGTTTTCTGAAAGACTAAAGATGTGGAAATCTCCAGGTCTTCTGCTAAATTTTACTCTCCTGGGGATTCTCTGCTCTGCAACAGCTGGGTTTTGAAACTGAAAGTACTGGCATTAAAGCCTCAACCCATCAATTACTTGTTATGTGATATTTGGCAAGTTATATAAGCTCCCTGAGCCTTAGTTTCTCTAAATGTAAAAATGGCAATAATACCTACTTTAGAAAGTCACTGTAAGGATATCAAATTATAACACATGCAGTATCTAATCCCAAAGAGGGTCTCAAAAATTGCATTTGTTTCATTTTTCTGCCATTATTAATCTTTCACTAAATATAAAACATAGCAACACACAGTTGCCTCCCACTGCTCTGAATCTGAGTTTACATGCCACACAACACCGAACATTTATTTCACTTCACAATGTCCTAAAGCCCACACACAAAAACAGTGGGCTTTTTTTTCCGATCCAGTGTTTATAACTTTCCTACATTAGACAGTTCATGAAAAATCTTTGCTGCCGGATCTGCATAACTTTGGACTTTCCTATCTCACTAATTGCCAAATGAACCAAATATTTTTCTGGGCTAGAGATACCTATGGGTAATTTACATCAACCAACATTTAAGTGAAACCCACAGGAAGTTAGCAAATAGTAACAAGAGTAAAATAATCCCTATTTGTTCTAAAAACCTGTCTGAGGCCTCAGGGCATAAATTTCAAAGAATCAAAAGCAGTTTGTATTTAATAATACAGTGAAGGTGATCTAGTGAAACCAAATGTGAATGTGTAAAACTAGTGTCATTTATAAAGATACTCTATAGTAAGTATCTCATATACTATGATATCCGAGAATTTTACCTATATTCCTATATCTTTACCATCTGATTTGTCTTGGTGCTCTCTTTTCTCCTAATTATATAATTAAGTAAAAAAATTATTGAAATAGGGGATCATTCCAAGATGGCCAAATAGGAACAGCTCTAGTCTACAGCTCCCAGCATGAGCGACAAAAAAGACGGGTGATTTCTGCATTTCCAGCTGAGGTACTGGGTTCATCTCATTGGCACTGGTTGGACAGTGGGTGCAGACCATGGAGTGTGGGCCGAAGCAGGGTGGGGCATCGCCTCACCCAGGAGGCACGAGGAGTCAGGGAATACCCTTTCCTAGCCAAGGGAAGCCATGACAGGTGGTACCTGGAAAATGGGGACACTCTCGCCCTAATACTGCACTTTTCCAATGGTCTTAGCAAACGGCACACCAGGAGATTATATTCTGCGCCTGGCTCAGAGGGTCCCATACCCATGGAGCCTTGCTCACTGCTAGCAGAGCAGTCCAAGATTGAACTGCAAGACAGCAGCGAGGCTGGGGGAGGGGTGTCCGCCATTGCTGAGGCTTGACTAGGTAAACAAAGCAGACAGGAAGCTCGAACTGAGTGGAGCCCACTGCAGCTCAACAAGGCCTACCTGCCTCTGTAGACTCCACCTCTGGGGGCAGGGCATAGCTGAACAAAAGGCAGCAGAAATTTCTGCAGCTGTCTGTCTGACAGCTTTGAAGAGAGCAGTGGTTCTCCCAGCATGGAGTTTGAGATCTGAGAACAGACAGACTGCCTCCTCAAGTGGGTCCCTGACCCCCGAGTAGCCTAACCAGGAGATAGCTCCCAGTCAGTAGCCAACTAACACCTCATACGGCTGGGTGCCCCTCTAAGATGAAGGCTTCCAGAGGAAGGATCAGGCAGCAACATTTGCTGTTCTGCAATATTTGCTGTTCTGCAGCCTCTGCTGGTGATACCCAGGCAAACAGAGTCTGGAGTGGACCACCAGCAAACTCCAACAGACCTGCGGCTGAGGGTCCTGACTGTTAGAAGGAAAACTAACGAACAGAAAGGAATACCATCAACATCAACAAAAAGGACATCCATACCAAAACCCCATCTGCAGGTCACCATCATCAAAGACCAAAGGTAGATAAAACTACAAAGATGGGGAGAAACCAGAACAAAAAAGCTGAAAATTCTAAAACCCAGAGCACCTCTTCTTCTCCAAAGGATTGCAGCTCATCACCAGCAACAGAACAAAGCTGGACAGAGAAACTTTGACAAGTTGTCAGAAGTAGGCTTCAGCAGATCAGTAATAACAAACTTCTCCGAGCTAAAGGAGGATGTTCGAACCCATAGCAAGGAAGCTAAAAACCTTGAAAAAACATTAGAAGAATGGCTAACTAGAATAAACAGCATAGAGAAGACCTTAAATGACCTGATGGAGATGAAAACCATGGCATGAGAACTACGTGACGCATGCACAAGCTTCAGTAGCCGATTTGATCAAGTGGAAGGAAGGGTATCAGTGATTGAAGATCAAATAAATGAAATGAAGTGAGAAGAGAAGTTTAGAGTAAAAAGAAACAAATGAAGCCTCCAAGAAACACAGGACTATGTGAAAAGACCAAGTCTACATTTCACTGGTGTACCTGAAAGTGATGGAGAGAATGGAACCAAGTTGGAAAACACTCTTCAGGATATTATCCAGGAGAACTTCCCCAATCTAGCAAGGCAGGCCAACGTTCAGATTCAGGAAATACAGAGAACGCCACAAAGATACTCCTCAAGAAGAGCAACCCCAAGACACATAATCGTCAGATTCACCAAGGTTGAAATGAAGGAAACAATGTTAAGGGTAGCCAGAGAGAAAGGTCGGGTTACACACAAGGGGAAGCCCATCAGACTAACAGCTGATCTCTTGGCAGAAACTCTACAAGCCAGAAGGGAGTGGGGGCCAATATTCAACATTCTTAAAGAAAAGAATTTTCAACCCAGAATTTCATATCTAGCCAAACTAAGCTTCATGAGTGAATGAGAAATAAAATCCTTTACAGACAAGCAAATGCCGAGAGATTTCATCACCACCAGGCCTGCCTTACAACAGCTCTTGAAGGAAGCACTAAACATGGAAAGGAACAACCAGTACCAGCCACTGCAAAAACATGCCAAATTGTAAAGACCATTGATGCTAGAAAGCAACTGCATCAACTAATGAGCAAAATAATCAGCTAACATCATAATGACAGGATCAAATTCACACATAACAATATTAACCTTCAATATAAATGGGCTAAATGCCCCAATTAAAAGACACAGACTGGCAAATTGGATAAAGAGTCAAGACCCGTCAGTGTGCTGTATTCAGGAGACCCATCTCATGTGCAGAGACACACATAGGCTCAAAATAAAGGGATGGAGGAAGATCTACCAAGCAAATGGAAAACAAAAAAAGGCAGGGGTTGCAATCCTAATCTCTGATAAAACTGACTTTAAGCCAATAGCAATCAAAAGAGACAAAGAAGGCCATTACATATAGTAAAGGGATCAATTCAACAAGAAGAGCTAACTATCCTAAATATATATGCACCCAATACAGGAGCACCCAGATTCATAAAGCAAGTCCTTAGAGACCTATAAAGAGACTTAAACTCTCACAGAATAATAATGGGAGACTTTAACACCCCACTGTCAACATTAGACAGATCAACAAGACAGAAAGTTAACAAGCATATCCAGGACTTGAACCCAGCGCCTCACCAAGTGGACCTAATAGACATCTACAGAACTCTCCACCCCAAATCAACAGAATATACATTTTTCTCAGCACCACATCACACTTATTCCAAAATTGACCACATATTAGGAAGTAAAGCACTCCTCAGCAAATGTAAAAGAACAGAAATCATAACAAACTGTCTCTCAGACCACAGTGTAATCAAATTAGAACTCAGGATTAAGAAACTCACTCAAAACTTCACAACTACATGGAAACTGAACAACCTGTTCCTGCATGGCTACTGGTTAAATAACAAAATGAAGACAGAAATAAAGGTGTTCTTTGAAACCAACGAGAACAAAGACACAACATACCAGAATCTCTGGGACACATTTAAAGCAGTGTGTAGAGGGAAATTTATAGCACTAAATGCCCACAAGAGAAAGCAGGAAAGATCTAAAATTGACACCCTAACATCACAATTAAAAGAACTAGAGAAGCAAGAGCAAACACATTCAAAAGCTAACAGAAGGCAAGAAATAACTAAGATCAGAGCAGAACTGAAGGAGATAGAGACACAAAAACCCATTCAAAAAATCAATGAATCCAGGAGCTGGTTTTTTGAAAAGATCAACAAAATACACAGCTAGCAAGACTAATAAAGAAGAAACCACAGAAGAATCAAATAGATGCAATAAAAAATGATAAAGGGGATATCACCACCGATCCCACAGAAATACAAACTACCATCAGAGAATACTATAAAGAACTCTGTGCAAATAAACTAGAAAATCTACAAGAAATGGATAAATTCCTTGACACATACACCTTCCCAAGACTAAACCAGGAAGAAATTGAATCTCTGAATAGACCAATGACAGGCTCTGAAATTCAGGCAATAATTAATAGCCTACAACCAAAAAAGTCCAGGACCAGAAGGATTCACAGCCAAATTCTACCAGAGGTACAAAGAGAAGCTGGTACCATTCCTTCTGAAACTATTCCAATCAATAGAAAAAGAGAGAATCCTCCCTAACTCATTTTATGAGGCCAGCATCATCCTGATACCAAAGCCTGGCAGAGACACAACAAAAAAAGAGAATTTTAGACCAATATCCCTGATGAACATCGATGCAAAAATCCTCAATAAAATACTGGCAAACCGAATCCAGCAGCACATCAAAAAGCTTATCCACCACAATCAAGTTGGCTTCATCCCTGGGATGCAAGGCTGGTTCAACATACACAAATCAGTAAACGTAATCCATCATATAAACACAACCAAAGACAAAAATCACATGATTATCTCAATAGATGCAGAAAAGGCCTTTGAAAAAATTCAACAGCCCTTTGACAAAATTCAACAGCCCTTCATGCTAAAAACTCTCAATAAACTAGGTATTGATGGGACATATCTCAAAATAATAAGAGCTATTTATGACAAACCCACAGGCAATATCATAATGAATGGGCAAAAACTGGAAGCATTCCCTTAGAAAACTGGCACAAGACGGGGATGCCCTCTCTCACCACTCCTTTTTAACATAATGTTGGAAGTTCCAGCCAGGGCAATCAGGCAGGAGAAGGAATTAAAGGGTATTCAGTTAGGAAAAGTGGAAGTCAAAATGTCCCTGTTTGCAGATGACATGATTGTGTATTTAGAAAACCCCATCGTCTCAGCCCAAAATCTCCTTAAGCTGAGAAGCAACTTCAGCAAAGTCTCAGGATACAAAATCAATGTGCAAAAATCACAAGCATTCCTATACACCAATAACAGACAAACAAAGAGCCAAATCATGAGTGAACTCCCATTCACAATTGCTTCAAAGAGAATAAAATACCTAGGAATCCAACTTACAAGGGATGTGAAGGACCTGTTCAAAGAGAACTACAAACCACTGCTGAACGAAATAAAAGAGGACACAAACAAATGGAAGAACATTCCATGCTCATGGGTAGGAAGAATCAATGTCGTGAAAATGGCCATATTGCCCAAAGTAATTTATAGATTCAATGCCATCCCCATCAGGCTACCAATAACTTTCTTCACAGAATTGGAAAATACTACTTTAAAGTTCATTTGGAACCAAAAAAGAGCCCGCATTGCCAAGACAATCCTAAGCCAAAAGAACAAAGCTGGAGGCATCACACTACCTGACTTCAAACTATATCACAAGGCTACAGTAACCAAAACAGCATGGTACTGGTACCAAAATAGAGACATAGACCAATGGAACAGAACAGAGCCCTCAGAAATAATACCACATATCTACAACCATCTGATCTTTGACAAACCTGACAAAAACAAGAAATGGGGAAAGGATTCTCTATTCAATAAATGATGCTGGGAAAACTGGCTAGCCATATGTAGAAAGCTGAAACTGGATCCCTTCCTTACACCTTGTACAAAAATTAATTCAAGGTGGATTAAAGACTTAAATGTTAGACCTAAAACCATAAAATCCCTAGAAGAAAACCTAGCAATACCATTCAGGATATAGGCATGGGCAAGGACTTCATGTCTAAAACACCAAAAGCAATGGCAACAAAAGCCAAAATTGACAAATGGGATCTAATTAAACTAAAGAGCTTCTGCACAGCAAAAGAAACCACCATCAGAGTGAACAGGCAACCTACAAAATGGGAGAAAATCTTTGCAATCTATCCATCTGATAAGGGGCTAATATCCAGAATCTACAAAGAAATTAAACAAATTTACAAGAAAAAATCAAACAACCCCAACAAAAAGTGGGTGAAGGATATGAACAGACACTTCTCAAAAGAAGATATTTATGCAGCCAAAAGACACATGAAGAAATGCTCATCATCACTGGACATCAGAGAAAAGCAAATTAAAACCACAATGAGATACCATCTCATACCAGTTAGAATGGCAATCGTTAAAAAGTCAGGAAACACAGGTGCTGGAGAGGATTGAAGAAATAGGAACACTTTTACACTGTTGGTGGGAGTGTAAAGTAGTTCAACCATCGTGGAAGACAGTGTGGCAATTCCTCAAGGATCTAGAACTAGAAATACCATTTGACACAGCAATCCCATTACTGGGTATATATCCAAAGGATTATAGATCCTGCTACTATAAAGACACATGCACATGTATGTTTATTGTGGCACTATTCACAATAGCAAAAACTTGGAACCAACCCAAATGTCCATCAATGATAGATTGGATTAAGAAAATGTGGCACATATACACCATGGAATGCTATGCAGCCATATAAAAGGATGAGTTCATGTCCTTTGCAGGGACATGGAGGAAGCTGGAAACCATCATTCTGAGCAAACTATCACAAGGACAGAAAACCAGACACCGCATGTTCTCATTCATAGGTGGCAATTGAACAGTGAGAACACCTGGACACAGGCTGGGGAACATCACACACTGGGGCCTGTTGTGGGGTTGGGGAAGGGATAGCATTAGGAGAAATACCTAATGTAAATGACAAATTAATGGGTACAGCACACCAACATGGCACATGTATACATATGTAACAAACCTGCACACTGTGCACATGTACCCTAGAACTTAAAGTATAATTTTAAAAAATTATTAAAATGTAGCGTATCTCCTGTTAAACCTTTGCATTCATTTTCTCCATCTAATTATCTGCTTCTATACCCAGTGGTTTGTCCTTTCTTTACTTCCCATTAAATTTTGCATCAGGTCCTGTATTTTAACTCTACACAATCACTCTATTTTGGTTGCCTTCAAGGATCTAAGATTTTGTCTTGCAAACTCTCTCAGTTGTGTCATAATACAGAACAGGACTTTGGCCACAGACATGATCAGGGCTTGAGCCCCAGCTGTGCTCACAATCTCTGCGGTCTTCAATTTGCTGTCCTTAAACTAGGAACCACAAGTCCCATAGGGATTGTTGTAAGATTTAGCAAGATAATAAATATATTTTTACTGTATCTGATACATGTTAGTACTTAATCAATGTTAACCTATATATACACATATATGTCTGTATGTATATATATACACATATATACACATATATATGGCAAAATAGTTGAAATATGAAATGTGATTAAAATAGCATAAAGAGAAACAGTATCTCATGATGATTAGGTTGTAACTGTGGAACCAGACTGCCAGGGCTGAATCTGCTCTTTGGCTATTTGAGTGACTTCGTTCAAGTAAGTTAATTTCTCAGTGTATCCATTGCCTGATCTATAAAAAGGAGTATTTATAGTGACCAACTCATAGATTTGTTGTAAGGATTTAGAAAAATACTTTGCACACAATAGCATTTAATAAGCATTTTCAAATAATTCCTTTCATGGAAAGAAAATGTGAATGTATGTTATCATTATACAACTGAGGATAGTTTTCATTTATGATTTGTAATTCAGAATTACATATAAAATTCAGCAAATACCACATTGCTAAACTTGAATACTGTAATAATATATTTTTAAAGAATTTCAGCATTATCTCAGGGTTCACAAGCTTATAAGTAAAAAAGGTATCAACATTTGAAAGCTGTCATAAAATAATACCTGTAATACCTGTAATGCATGCTTTAAAGTATGTCTTCTTCTCAAGAGAGTGCTTGAAAAAGATTAGGGGGAAGTATCCCTAGATTTAACCTATACATCTATAAAACATTTTCTCTGTTTAAGGATGAAATAGTAGGCCCAGTCCATGAAGTCCTCATTTAATATTTGTTTTTTATGTATAAAGAGATAAAAAGGCATTGTTAGGCTATGTCATTGGTATTTAGAATTTTACATTTAAGGTCAGACAAGAACTATAGATAGTTGAGAGAAACAACATGATTACAAACTTGTTAACTCCAACTACCCCATCAACATACACATGCACACACAGACATGCTCATACAATGTGTTCTCTCATTTTGCACTTGTATTTGAATGGGAAGAGATTAAGAAGTAAAGTGTAGAACAACATCACCCAATAGAAATTAAATGTGAGCCACAAATGCAACCCATATATATGTATATTTTTAATTTTCTATTGGCCACATTACAAAAGCAAAAATAAACAGGTGAAATTCATTTTAATATTCTATTTTATTGAACACAATGAATCAAAAATCAAAAAATAATATCAAAAATATTATTTTGATATTTAATCATATTTAATAAATGTTATACATTTATCTAATTCATTAAATAAATTTATTATACTGATTTAAATCATTATTAAATAAAACTAATGATAAAGTATTTTATTATATTCTTTGTTTCATATGAAGTCTTCAAAATCCAGAGTGTATTTCACACTTAGAGCCCATTTCAATTAGAATTAGCTACACTTCCTGTGCTCAATAGCCACCTGTAGCTAGCAGCTGCCAAGTTGGATGGCACAGGTTAGAATAAGTGTTTCTGCTTCTTCCATGGGTCAGAAAGAAATTCCACAGAGTTTTTAAAATTACTCTCCCAACTCTCATAAATTCTATTGGTGGTTATAAACCTCCAGTGCCAGAACTGGAAGAAAATATGTATACCTGAAAAATGCCAGATCTGACATATTTAAAGAGAGTGCAACGCCCAACAGGATTATAGAAAATGAATAAAAGATTTATGAGGTAATTTTCAGAAATGCTTAAAGGTAGACAAGGACAAAGTTTCAGAATGTAACAGTTTCCACTAATGCTTCCCAACGGCCTAGACTACATTTCATGAGATGTACTTAAAATCCATATATCCATTAGCCTTTCAGTGTCACTGCTAATATTTCGTAAACTTCAATATCTCATTCTCTATTATTATTTAATATTTTTTATCATTTGCAAGCCTACAATGTAACTTACAGACCTAGGAATCAGTACAATCAGCTCTGCTGCCAACAAAGCAGAGAAAACAATACCTTTCATGTGGTTTCCTTTGAGTAGTTTTAAAATAAGAGCAAGTTAGAATTTCTTCACTCTGAAAAGTTTGCTCATCTTTCCAAAAAAAAAAAAAAAACAAATTTGCTTATTAACTAATTATTTTAGGTTCCACAATGCTTTCTCCATGATATTTTATTCCCTTTTATACCGAGGCACATGCCTGGAATCTTTCTTAGTTAGCTGAGCTTGATAGGGTAGAAATTTCATACACCTTTGATTAACTCTTATGTGTAAACCACGGACAGAACCAGACCTATGGAATCTTCAGAAGATTCTTCTGGAACTCATATCTCCCCTGAAAGGCAAAATGCACAGCAAGCCTTAAGCCTACACTCTGAACATTGAACTTAAAGATAACTTTTTTTTAACATCGACACAGTCTTTAGAAAACTCATCTACCCTTATAAAATCACATAATACCCAATGTTGATGAATCAACAAATATATTTCTATAGTGCAGGTCTTTCTTCTAAACTCTACAACTCAGTAACCTGCTGACTCTCTGGCATATTTCTCCCAGGCATCTCTATGTTAGGGGCACCTACTATCCCAGTTGTCCAGGAACTGCTTCAGTTTAGTCACTGAAATTCCTGCATTCTGGGAAATCCTTCAGGTCCAGGAAACTGAGACAGCTGGTAACTCTTAACATGCTCCACCTTAACTGTATCATATTTGTCTCAAATTTACTCTTATCTTAAATTTCTAAATCTTTGGCGGTCACGAAATTCACATAGACATATATGTTGTGAAAGCAACCTTAGTCTTTTCCCTCCTACTTGCAATTACTATTTTCTTTATTCAAGGAATATTTATTGTCAATTTTGTCAAAGATCAGATGGCTACTGGTGTGCAGACTCATTTCTAGGTTCCTTGTTCTGTTCTGTTGGTCTATGTGTCTGCTGTTGTACCAGTCCCATGCTGTTTTGGTTACTGTAGCCATATAAAGTATTTTGAAGTTGGGTAATGTGATGCCTTCAGATTTGCTCTTTTTGCAGTGGGGAAAGGACTCTTTATTCAATAAATGTTGCTGGGATACCTGGCTAGCCATACACAGAAGAATGAAATTGGACTCTTTTACCATATACAAAAATTAACCCAGGATGGATTAAATATTTAAATATGAGACCTCAAACTATAAGAATCCTAGAAGAAAATCTAGAAAATACCATTTAGACATTGGCCTTGGAAAAGAATTTATGACCAAGTCCTTAAAAGCATTTGCAACAAAACAATCAATGAGTGGAACCTAATTAAACTAAAGCGCTTCTGCACATTAACAAACTATCAACAGAGCAAACAGACAACCTATAGAATAGGGGAATATATTCACAAACTATGCATCCAACAAAGATCTAATATCCAGAATCCATAAGGAACTTAAGCAAATGAACAACCAAAACCAACTAACTCCATTAAAAAGTGGGCTTAAATATATGAATAGATTCTTCTCAAAAGAAGACACACAAGTGGCCAACGAACATATGAAAAATGCTCTATATCACTAATCATCAGATAAATGCAAATCAAAAGCACAACGAGATATCATCTCACAACAGTCAGGTGGTTATTATTATTATACCAAAAAGACATATGCACTCATATGTTCATCATAGCACTATTCACAATAGCAAATACATGGAATTTACCTAGGTGCCATCAATGGTGGACTGGATAAATAAAATGTGGTACATATACACCATGGAATACTACGCAGCCATAAAAAAGAACAAAATTGGGACAGGCACGGTGGCTTATGCCTGTAATCCCAGCACTTTGGGAGGCCGAGGCGGGCGGATCATGAGGTCAGGAGATCGAGATCATCCTGGCTAACATGGTGAAACCCCGTCTCTACTAAAAATACTGAAAATTAGCTGGGGGTGGTGGCGGGTGCCTGTAGTCCCAGCTACTCAGGAGGCTGAGGCAGGAGAATGGCGTGAACCTGGGAGGTGGAGCTTGCAGTGAACTGAGATTGCGCCATGCACTCCAGCCTGGGCGACAGAGCAAGACTCTGTCTCAATAAATAAATAAATAAATAAATAAATAAATAAAGAAAGAAAGAAAGAACAAAATCATGCCCTTTGCAGCAACATGGATGTAGCTAGCTGCCATCATTTTAAGTGAATTAATGCAGGAAGAGAAAACCAAATACCCTTTATTCTCACTTATAAGTGGGAGCTAAACATTGGTTATTCACAGACATAAAGATGGCAACAGTAGACACTGAGGACTACTAGAAGGGGGATAAAGGGGGAGGGCAAGGATTGAAAAACAAGGATTGATGGGTACTATGCTCACTTCCTGGGTGACATGCTCAATTTTACCCCAAATCTCAACATCATGCAATATACTCATGTAACAAACCTAAACATGTACCCTCTGAATCTAAAATAAAACTTGAAATTATTTTTTTAAAGTACATTTTATTGACTATCAATTACGGATTTATCAGTTAGAAAAGATTTCAAAAATATCCGTTTTTGTTGAGTTTACATTTCATTGTAGAAAGACAGAATATAAATAGAAAAATAAAATAATATATAACTTTTCATAAATAGTGATGTAAAAACAAAATAAAACAGAATAAGAGGAATAGGAAGTGCAGTACCTGTGTGTAGAAACTACTGACAGTACCAGCAATAACAAGTTATGCACCTTTTCCATTAAATTTCTGATTCATGGGAGCCAACCCCAATGCTAGATTCAAGATGACACTTATTTGTCTTAGTCAGTGATGATAAACTCAAACCGCCTTGCCAAAGGCAATGTATCTCAAGCTAGAACCAATTAACTCAAACGTTTGTCTGGCAATTGAGTTGCATTCAGATCTAAACACATGGCCTAAATTGACCCAATCAGTCTCAAGAATTTTGATAAAGTTTAGATATTTGTCCCTGCTCAAATCTCGTGTTGAATTGTAAATCCTACTGCTGGAGTTGGGACCTGGGACAGGTGTTTGGATCATGGAAGCAGATCCCTCATGGCTTGGTGCCGTCTTTGTGATAGTGAGTTCTCACGATATCTGGTCATTTAAAAGTGTGTGGCATCTCCCCCCACCTCTCTCTCTTGCTCTCATTCTTGCCAAGTGATGTGCGTGCTCCTCCTCTGCCTTCTGTCATGAATGGAAGCTTCCTGAGGCCTCCCCAGAAACAGATGCTGCTATGACATCTGTACCTTCAAAACCATGAGCCAATTAAACCTCTTTTCTTTATAAATTATTATTTCAGGTATTTCTTTGTATTCATTGAAAGAATGACCTAATACAGATTTACATTCCAATATTGTGTGAGAGGTATCCTTTCTTTTTCATTAGATTTCAACATATAAACTCATTGTCCAGCTGCTATTGGTAGCCATTTTTTTTGTTCAAGGAAGAAACCAGAGCTACGTAAAGAGTCAAGAAACAGAGCCGAGACGAATCTACAACTGGTAGGCCACTATTTATTTTTTTTACTTTCCATTAGGTGACATAAAATATGGACTCACGATTAAAGCCAGTTGACTTTTGGATTCTGTTATTAGCTACATATGTGGTACAGACCTTTTTACCTCAATAAATATCAATGTACTATTTCTTCTATTCAGAATGTATTTCTTTCTTTCTTTACTTGGATGACTGCAAGAGCCAGCGTATTTTAAAGTTGTTGTTTTTTTTTTTTTACTAAACCACTTCAGCCTGTGTTAGCTATTCCTCTGCTTCAATAGTACCACAACATAAAACTTATCACACATTGCAGGTGTATGTTTATGTCAATTGTATTACGTCTAAATTGGAGGAAAGCAATTAAATTATGACTAAGAAGCTTCCTCTCTTAAATATTCACTTATTCAGTTATACAATTGTATATTAAACTCTAAAAATTGATAGATAATGCCTCCACCATAGTCCTGTTCTATAAATATTAGCTATGTTATTGTACACAAAGGAAAGGTAAAATTTAACCTTGCTTTAGAGTTTCCACTTATTTGTTTTGAAAACTAAATATAAGACCTAATTTTTCTAGTGAATATGACAGATTTCTGTTTACTAAATTATTTTCTTGTGACATGAATTTGAAAAATAAGTTAAGATACTTTTATTTCTTTTTAGGGAAATATGTAAGTTTCAAAATTTTAACAATGTATATTTAAATATAAATGCTTTCTCTCACCAAAACGTAAAGTTTTAAGTCAACTTAAAAATATTCCCGGGCTGGGTGTGGTGGCTCACACCTATAATCCCAGTGCTTTGGGAGGCTGAGGCGGGAAGATTGCTTGAATCCAGGAATTTGAGACCAGCCTAGCAAACATGGTAAAACCCCATCTCTACAAAAAACTAGCCAGGCATGGTGGCCAAGGCTGCAGTGAACTGTGACTGTGTCACTGAGCTCTAGCCTGGGCAAGAGTCAGACCCTGTCCCCTCACACCAAAAAATTATTCACCACAATTATTTCTTTTTCAGGTACTGACATTTCTTCTAAGTCACATTCATAAGCAAAATCGATTGCACAAGTTTTTTGTATGTGTGAAAGATATCCCCCCAAAATATATTTTCCCCTTTTCATGTAATTTGGATACAAGATGACTCACAGCTTAACCAAATTCTTTGTTTCCCCACCAATAATTTATCTTTAAAACTCTGCTGTGTTCTCAAATTCACACTGAAACTTACATGAGAAACCAACCAGAAAATGAGAAACCTATGCAATTTTTTTTTTTCCTGGAAAGTGCCAGTAAAAAACAGATTCCACAGTTTTCTAATGATAAAAACAAAAATAAGAGAAAGAGGTCATGTAATTTGTGAAGTAAACATCTTATACTCTTTGAAACTAAATTTCAGCTGCAGCATTAAAATCTAGTTGTCCCTCTAAAGAAGCTTACTTTTAGAAAGGTTCAATAAATGGTGCTTGGAAAACTAAATATTCATACGCAGAAGAATGAAACTAGATTCCTATCTCTCACCATATACAAAAATCAAACATAATAGATTAAAGTCTTAAATATAAGACTTCAAACTATGAAACTGCTAAAGGAAAACTTTGGAGAAACTCTCCAGGACATTGAACTGGCAAAGATTTCTTGAGGAATACCCAAAAAGCACATGCAGCTAAAGCAGAAATGAACAAATGGGATCACATCAAGTTTAAAAGTTTCTGCACAGCTAAAGGAAAAAAAATCAACAAAGTGAAACAACAGTCCATGGAATGAGAGAAAATATTTGCAAACTGTCTTACAAGGGATTAATAACCGGAATATATTAAAAGCTCAAACGACTCTGTAGGAAAAAATCTAGTAATCTGATTCAAAAACAGGCAAAATATCCGTATAGACATTTCTCAAAAGAAGACATGCAAGTACGAAACAAGTATATGAAAACGTACTCAACATCATTGATCATCAGAGAAATTCAAATCAAAACTACTTTGAAGGCTGGGTACTGTGGCTGTTTTCTGTAATCCCAGTGCTTTGGGAAGCCTAGATGAGTAGATCACCTGAATTCAGGAGTTCAAGACAGCCTGGGAAACATGATGAAACCCTGTCTCTACAAAAAATACAAAAATTAGCCTGTACATACCTGTAGTCCTAGCTACTCGGGAACCTGAAGCAGGAGAATCACTTGAGCCAGGGAAGGTTAAGACTGCAGTGAGCCGGGACCATGCTGCTGCACTCCAACCTGGGCAACAGAGGGAGAGTCTATCTTAAAAAATAAATAAATAAATAAAAATCACTACAATGAGATATCATCTCACCCTAGTTGAAATGGCTTTTGTCCAAAACACAGGCAATAACAAATGCTGATGAGGATGTGGGAAAAAGGGAATCCTCATACACTGTTGGTAAGAATGTAAAGTAATACAACCACTATGGAGAACAGTTTGGAGGTTCCTCATAAAAACTGAAAATAGACCTACCGTAGGATTGCTGCATCACATAGTAGCTCTATTTTTATTTCCTTCTTTTCCCAAAACAATCTGATATGATTTACCCTGATGTGATTATTATGCATCCTATACCTGTATCAAAATGTCTCATGTAACGCATAAATATATATGCCTACTATGTACCCACAAAAATTTAAAATTAAAAAACATAAAAAATAAAATAAAATGCACTCATGCTAGGCAAAATATGCATATATACACACATATCTGCATATATGCATATAAACACATATAGGCATATATGTGCACATACACACAGGCATATATATGCACATATACACACATATGCATATTATGCATAGACACACACACATATGCATATTATGCATAGACACACACATATGCATATTATGCATAGACACACACACATATGCATATTATGCATAGACACACACACATATGCATATTATGCATAGACACACACATATGCATATTATGCATAGACACACACACATATGCATATTATGCATAGACACACACACATGCATATTATGCATATACACACACATGCATATTATGCATGTATACACACATATGCATATTATGCATGTATACACATATGCATATTATGCATGTATACACACATGCATATATATGCATATATACATATATACACATATACACGCATCTATGCATATATACACACATATATGTGTATATACACATACACATATACATACATATACACATATGTATATATGTGTATATATACATATATATGCATATATGTGTGTGTATATATATATATAGTGCCCCAGCCAAGTTTCTCACTAACCTCAACCTTGTTCCAACCCTGTTTGACATGTTTCTCAAAGCTCTTGATTATACGATATCCTCCTTCAGGGATAATCATATAACCATAAATAAATATCTATATAAAAATAATTCTGTAAAAATACCTGGAGTCAAAACTTATATGGCTATACCTCTTATGTGAGCCAATATAGCACATTTAAATATTTGTCTTTTAAGATTAAAGTATTACCCTTTCCAACAGCCCTGTATCAAAATGAAGAGTTTCTTGTTTTTGTTTTTGTTTTTTTTTTTGAGACAGAGTCTCGCTCTGTTGCCCAGGCTGGAGTGCAGTGGCGCGATCTGGGCTCACGCAAGCTCCGCCTGTCGGGTTCACGCCATTCTCCTTCCTCAGCCTCCCGAGTGGCTGGGACTACAGGCCACCCTCCACCGTGCCCGGCTAATTTTTTTTTTTTGTATTTTTAGTAGAGATGGGGTTTCACCGTGTTAGGCAGGATGGTCTCGATCTCCTGACCTAGTGATCTGGCTGCCTCGGCCTCCCAAAGTGCTGGGATTACAGGCGTGAGCCACTGTGCCAGGCCTCAAAATGAAGAGTTTTCATACAATGTGTAAGGACACATAATTCATTAAACCATTAGCAATTTGTATTATTTGAAAATTTTCTAATATGAAAATTAATTAATAAAGGACAGAGAAGAACTAAGCTTTAATTGGAGCAGAGAGAAGTAACTTGCTCAAGCAAGAGAGAGATTAAACCTTATAGATATAGTGCTGGAATCCCAAAATTAGCATGAGATGAATGATTGGCTTCAGATGGGGCATTCTGAAAGCCATGAAAAATGAGATGTGAGAATAATAAAGTCAAGCTTCTACTTTTGCTTGAACTAATTTTCCTTGCTCTAATTATATACAATGCATCAAATGCATTATCCACAAATAAAGTCCTCTCAGTAAATGTATATTGCTCTAAAAAATGGAATACTCAATAGTGTTTGTAAATTTTACTTATTTATATTTTAAACAATTTTTCAGAATGCATTTCAAAAATTATATAAAAGCAGAATGCTTCTGCATTAACAAAATCAATAGCAATAATCATAATAAATACTGTGTAATAAGAAAGCCAATATGATAGGCATCTTTATTTGTGATTAATGTTGGCAAGACGGAAGCAGCACATTTACTAATGGAACCATACAATCACGAAGTATTTCATGCATAACTATTCAAAATAAAATTATCATTTCCTGGAATGAAAACATTTCAAAATTATAGTGTGCACAGCTCTAAATTGATTCTATAAATGGATTCCAGAAAATCATTTACCAGATGGTTATATTTAGATGCCACTCAAGCTTCCTGAGTACTTTAAAGGTGGAGTCACCTATGCCCACAGCTGCATTAATAGAGAAAAATAAAAGACTTAACATCTTTGAAGAGGAATAAATGCTGAGTGTAACAAAAAATACAAAAATACAAGAAAGTTTCCAATTTAATGATATTGATACACACAGGAAAGGCAAATTAGTGTTTTAATTGTTCATCAAGCTTAATTTCATATAAGCAAGTCTCAGTCATCATAATGTAAAATTTTTTCATGTGTATCATGATTGCAATTTTGATTGTCATCAGAATCACTTACTTTGCCTATTTCCTCTCTGAGAGGTAATAGAGGGAGTCCTTGGTTAGAAGTACAGATTCTGGAGACAAACCACTTGCATTTACAGCCTAGGTTTGTGATTTCAGGCAAAGTACTTAACCTCCTGGGTCTGAGTTTCCTCAAATATAGAATAATAATTATAACTTCATAAGGTTTTGACAATTAAATTAGATGATGCAATGCCTGACATAATGAAAGTGCTAAATAATTGTTAATAATAGATGTTAGAATTTTAAAGAACGGTAAAAATACCTAATTGATGTGGGAAATTCACTTTTAGGAAAACATTGTTAACGTGCAGTGGAATATGTCAAAGACAACATCCCAGTTATCACTGTAAAAATAGGTCTCTGTGTGTTATATACACATTTTCTGCTATCTAAAATTCGATAGATTATCTACATAGTAACCACATAGCTGAAGGACAGTACATACCATCTGAACATGTATTTTCTTTGGGAAACAGTTTTCTCTTAACTTCAACTGCTTTATGATATCCCATGTGGGTTAGTGCTCATATGAATCTACTTACGAGGAAAACCACGTGCTAGAGACACCAAACCTAAAAGAGATGCTGAAACTTGAAGATGTCATCCCATCACTACTTAAAGCAAAAATATAGAGTGATGGTTTTATCAATATTCAGATGAGAACTAACTTAGTAATCAATGCTTTTGCCCTGGATTTTGGAACAGTGTTAGGAATTATAAAATGGCAAACCATGATTAGTCACCCCAAACATATAGAATTGGCTTACTACAGACTGAAAGCTTGTAAAGGGATACTCTTTAGAGGGAAAAAAAAATATGCTTTAAAGATCCTGAAACAGACTTCAAGAGATGTGGCACAACCTGTTTCCAGGAAATAGAATCATCATATGAGTTATCTTTGACACTGCAAAATGAAATGAGGAGATTAAAAATCTCATTCAACTAGTTCAAGTTCTCTCTCTTTTCCTGCCCCTCCACTAGTGTTCATATGGATCTCCCTGCCTGGAATTCCCTCCCTGACCTGTCAGCTGTTTCTTTTTGGATGATTATTACTTATTCTTACTTATTATTGATCACTGAAATCTCAACTTGGATATCACTTCTTCCAGGAAGCCAAATCTAGGTTAGGAGAGTGCTATGTGTGCACCCAGCACCCTGAACTTCCTGTACCACAGTATTTGTCACGTTTCATTAACCTGCCTCTCTACCTGTCCGTATCCTCACGACATAAAAATGCTTTGAAGTAAGAGATCTTCTATATAATGTCACAATCATATCACCAGAGCCATTCCTGGGTCAGTGCTCAATAAATATTTGTTTAAAATAAAAGTAGAGAAAGAAGGGAAAAGGGAGTAAGAATGAAGGTAGAAATGAACAAGCAGTGCCTCATTTATTTAAATAATGGCAAAAATGCTGGAAATCCCCAGAACAAGAAGCCACATGATCCCAGACTCAGCTGTGGCACAAAGTGAGTGAAGTTATATAAGTGGGACCAAAAGGGCTGATTTTGTTTGCTACAGCTTTTTCAAGGCTGAAGATGAAAATATCCTTAAAACAATTTAATCCTTCTGAAATAATGATGGAGGAAAACAACTGTTTGTAAAAGCAATCAGTGATAATTAATAAACAAATTGGCAGAGGTTTTTTTCTTTTTCCTCTGAAAAAGCTTTCTTCCAATGAGTGCTCACGAAGGAACACAGAAAGCAGTCCATTGTATTTTTTAAATGTGTGATTACACCACCTTTGATGTGTATTTATATATATATATACACATACACATACATACACATATGTATGTATAGATATCCCATATGTGGTATTTGTGATATCACATATATCTACCACATATGTGGTAGATATATATCACACACACATATACACACACACACACTCACACAGTTAACATATACATGAAACTCTTTAGACTGAATCTCATTTATCTCATTTGTCGTATAATCTATAATTCCTTAATTATTTTTGGATAAAATGAACTGAAGCTCATTGTACATTTCTCTTATCGGGGGAAATGTGAAATCTTGCTTTAGGATCTAGATTGAGCTTTTCATTTGGGAAGAATCAAATAAATAGATTAAACATTTTTCTTAAAATGTGTTCTATTTTAACAGCACAAGTGAATGTAATAATTGTATTAAAAATTCCTTATAATCACTCTGTAAATTTAAATTATAGTGTACTCCTTTTATTATCTCTTTAAGGAACTGAGCTAAAGAAGTAACAAACTATTCTTTTTCTCTTCGAAAAGAATTTTCTCGTATCTTTTTTTGATATGAATGCAATTGTGAAATGAACTGTGTAGATTCTTCAAATATAATTATGTATAATATTGAAAGTGTCAATGGGAAAAAGGAATAACATCAGAAATAATGAATATGAGAGAAATCTGAATGATGATACATATTTCTTGGAAGCAGGTGACCCAACTCAGAAAAATAACTGTCTTATGAACAGCTGAATATATGTGACTATCCATTTTCCATGTCATTAGATAGCCAATCAACTGAAGTACACAACGAATTTAACCTTTTATTTACCACAAATAATCTGTTTCACTCACATAGTTAAATTGAAATTGTTTGGGTATCATTCATTCATTAGAATCTAGTGCTATTTTGCTCCTCAATATCTATTATCTGTCCTTCTTTCTAACCCAGGAGGTTCATCTGTATGAATCACACAGTCATGGTTTCTCACTCATCTGGCTTCCAGTTGAGTCCAATCAGCGGAGAAACATAGCAGTTTGGAGGAAGAAAGAAAGAGGAAGAGCAGAGAGTAAGGTCAGAATATTACCTGGCTTCTTCCTTCCCTTTCAAAATGAGGTCAAACTAGCTAATCCTTTCAATAAACATCACCCAAATGCCATTGTATTCCTCTGGGTTCCAATAACCATGCTATCTCTGGGTTCCAATAACCATGCTATCTCTTCCTCCTTTAAGTCTAAGGGTGGTACCAGGTCAGCTGCTGCCGACTCCAGGTTATTTTAGTAGCCTTTATAGTCTCCCTTTTGTCTATGTCACTAAACACATCAAGAATTATTCTATTTGCAGTGATCCATATGTTTTCTGCTGAGACAAGATTTATAAAGAAAACAGATTATCTCTGTCAATTATCTTGATATGCATTCTTTTTAAAATCAGAATGTTTACATTATTGACTTAACACTTCCTTTTATTTAGTTATTTTATAAACTCAGACTTATGTATTATACATTTCTCATTAATGTATATTTTTGACTGGAGGAAAAAAGAAGAAGGAATATGGCCATAAAACATGTAGAATCTTCTTTGCTCTTGCACACATGTGGAAGATTCTCCTCTTCTTTACACTTTGCTGGTATTTTTAAAACTGTAAATTAACTCATTTGAATCTATTTTATTTCATTTATCCTGACTTGAAAACTCCTATTAGGTCACCCAGCCTCTATTTCCTCCCATTCCAGAATAACCCAAATCATGTTCAGTAACATATCCTATTTTTGTTTCCAAAGAAGAATCCTGATTGGCCTATGTAGTCTACCTATGCATTTCATTCCTTTGTTCAGGTGGAGCAAGGTTCTTTGGGGCTCAAAAGCCTATAAAATGTGGGGGATCTCTTTTAAAAAACAATACAAACTGTGAATAGGTACAACTAAATATTTATTTAAAATAAAATTAATAATAAATTAAAAATTTTAAAGCTGACTAAAGGTACTACAAATATAACAGAATTTAGAAAAATAATATAACTTTAATGAACTACAAGAAGTTCATTTCTACAGTACATTTTCCCTACTTTCTTTTTTTTTTTATTGTTGGTTTTTAGACAGGGTCACTGTTTCCCAGGCTGGAGTTCGGTGGTACAATCATATCTCTCTGCAGCCTCAACACCTTGGGTGCAAGCAATCCTCCCACCTGAGCCTCTTGAGTAGCTGGGACTATACACATACACTGTTATGCCTGGCTAATTTTGAAAAAATTTTGTAGAGACAGGGTCTCTCTGTGTGTCCCAGGTTTGTGTCAAACTCCTGGGCTCAAGTGATACTCCTGCCTCAGCTCCCTAAAGTGCTGGGATTACAGGCATGAGCCACCATGCCTGGCCCATTTTCCCTCCTTTTCAAAATGCATAGCCCTTGATCACCACTTCTTACAGTTTTATAGATTCAATGCCTATAGCAGAATAAAAAAAATACTTCAGCTTTTTATCTAGTAAAGTTAAATTCAACTTTAGTTTTTATTATTGCTAATAACTTGTTTTTACTTCTGCTACTGGCCTGTGCCCTACAAATAGAAGAATTCTGATAAATTTTGTTTCATGTAATTCCCAGTTAAAAGGGAAAAATGTATAATTCAATAATACTTGTATATTCTATGGTATGACATGTATTTTAAATAAGAAAAATCTTCCATTTTAGTAAGTTATAGATAAGAACTGAATCCTCAGCTCACAATTTTACTCATCTGATAGTGGAAGAGTATTCCACAGGCTAGTTCCTTATGTTTGTATTTTTAATCTTTTTTTTCCATCATTAATGACAACTTTCCAGTGCCAAACATGTTAAAATATGTTAATATCATAATTCAATCTATGCAAAATGGGCAGTAAGTCAGAAGAAGTCTAGCAAAAACTTCACTGTATCAACTAAACAGGAAGTTGACTGCAAACCACATAAATATGCCCCATTAACCCCAAACTAAGAGAACCCCAAACAAAATTCTCCTTAGCAAGAGCTCCCAAAATATTCAAAGCTGCTTGAACATCATCTGCAATGAAGAATAGTGTGAGAAAAGGTAAGTCAGAGTTCAGAGACACCGAGGTCTTAACTATTTGAAGTTTAAAATGACTCATTTTGCAATTTTCATCAAAAAGAAATAAAATGTGAACATGTGAGCACACTGTTAAGGAACCCTCTCCAGGTCTTAGTAAAAGTTCATGCAAGTTCTGGCCTAAAGCTTCATTAGCTTTACACTAATGTATTTACCTCTGTCTCTGGTGATAGTTTCTGGCTCAAGTTTGGGCATGTGACCTAAGCTAGCCCAATTAGTGTGAAGAGAACTACTATTTTACACTTGTTTAGGAGAGGTTTCTCTACCTTCCTCACAGTAAATGTAAACAGAACATCTCTTGCAAGCATGGGAAAATGGGGCAGGGTGAAGTTAATGTTGACTGAGTGGATATTAAAGAACCCAGATTTGGGGGATTTTCAAAATAAGTTCATATCGCCCTTGGAGTTTACCTTTGGATTTATATTTTATATTTAAAAATACCATTTAAGCCAATTTGCATTAGATTTTTCAGTTACAGTGGAAATATCCTAATGTGTACCTACAAATTATTTGGTTTATTTCTGAAAGTCTTGTTGTTTAAGTATCATTTTGCATTTTCATTCAGATATAACTCTCAAATATAAAATTCTGCTAATTAAATATCATTATAAACTGTGTTGAATTGCACAACTATCACAGATGACAGAACTTTTTTCTCAAATAATAAAATATTTTTAAAACTTTTGATATTTCTCAGGTATGATAATAATCAATTGTTTCAAAGATATTTTCCAAGTAAGTTCAAGTTGGTGTATTAGAACTTACATCGATACTCTGTTCAGCATAAACGATCCTCTAAAAGAGATATTTTCCTAAATTACTGAAAGGAAAATATAGGCTTCAGAATATTTTTAAAATTCCATTTTTGAGGTTTAGAAATAAGGCTTACAGCTCAGACAAGCATTACAATCAAGCTACTTTCTCATTGGTGAGACACATTTTAAAAGTTAACTTGCATATCTCAACTACACAAATTTCAAGGCATAACATTGAAAAAAGAAAAAACTTCTATTGCTAGTAAAAAAAAAAAATCACAATTCCCTTATGATTCAAATGCAAAAAAAAAATGAGAATATGAGAGGATAAGAGGATGTTCAATGATCCCTTGTTTACTTCTTTTAAAAAATTATGAACCATTTTAAGTCTAAACAAATAGAATGATATAAGAAACATTCATGTTTCTCCAGTTCAATTTGGTTAATTATTAACATTTTTGCATCTTAAATTTTGATTATTTAAAATAAAAATAAAACACCATTACAGATTTGTATTAAATTCCCTTTGCTAGTGTTCCCAATCCCTTTCCTTCATTTCCTACTTCGAAATGACAACCATCCTAAATTTTGCATATATTAACCCAAAGCAATTTTTAATAGTTTTACTGTACAGGTATGACCATACACACACCAACACACACATGCAGATAATGTATTAAATATAGGACATATATTTGATATGTATATATTATATATAATTGTATACATGTATATAAATCACATAACCTACCATACTGTACATCTTTCAGGAATTTCCTTTTTTCACCTAACATTTTGCTTACTTTTTAATCCATGTTTATAAACTACATATGACAATCTAGGTCATTAATTTTTACTGCTATGTAGTTTTGTAATATGTGATAATTATACAATATATTTTGCCATTTTTGATGTATTTTGGGTTTTTTTCCTCACTTTTCCCTATTATAAACAAAATTACAATAAACATCCTTGAGCATATATCCTTGTATGTATTCCCTGTACGAGATTCCCTGGAGTATATTCCTAGGATAAAGTAGAAGTGCCGAGTCTTAAATATGTGCAGCTAAAACAGTATTCAATATAGCAAATTATTTTCCAAGGTAGCTAAATCAATTCATTATCTAACACTAGTAAGCAAATTCCATTTTTAACAAGAAAAATTATTGAAATTAAGGAAATATACAAATTAGGAATTGAGAATATACATCAGAATAAACTCAAGAAAGTGACAAAAGGAATAATACAGAAAAGAGCAGACCTTAATTACAAAGAAAGCAAAAAAATAATGCACGAATCTTTTGTTGTCAGGTTTTATTTGTCTATTAGCTCAAGTTAACGAGCACTATTCAATGAATGTTAACGAGCATTACTAATAGCATCAATTAAATATTCTATAGCATTATTTTTCCTTGCTTTGTCTATTGAATATTCAAAGAGGTATTTAAAGTATTGTATTCCGATTGTGATTATGGTTATCCAATGTTCCTCTGTAATATCATTCATTTTTAGATTATTCTGTCAAGATAACATAAGAAAAAGACTAAGCAGCAGATTCTGTATCTGTGGAAATCAAACAAGGAATATATTAGATTCATGAGATTATTTGAAACACATGGGTCCCATAGGCAAAATAAGATTTGATTTTATTTATGAATATCTAAGAGTCTTGTTGTATGTGAATGCATTAATCAAATTATTGTTTACACCAACATACATTTGCTGCAGTTTTTCTTCACAGATGTATCACAATTTATTTAGCCAAGTCTTTATTTTAATGATTCTTAGACTGTCTGTAATACGTCACAATTTTAACTACTACCAAAATAAACATTTTCCTATGGCTAAATAGTTATATAAAAACTGTTTGTTTTACCGAGGCAGGCGGATCACGAGGTCAGGAGATCGAGACCATCCTGGCTAACACGGTGAAACCCCATCTCTACTAATACAAAAAAAAAAAATTAGCTGGGCCTGGTGGCAGGCGCCTGTAGTCCCAGCTACTAGGGAAGCTGAGGCAGGAGAATGGCGTGAACCCGGGAAGCGGAGCTTGCAGTGAGCCAAGGTCGCACCAATGGACTCCAGCCTGGGTGACAGAGCGAGACTCCGTCTCAAAAAAAAAAAAAAAAAAAAAAAAGTTTGTTTTAAATTATTAAAAGTTAAATTATAGTATATAATGATAAAATTATAAGATGATTAACACACATTGTCCTGTTGTCCCTATATTTTATACTTGTGACTGCAAATTTTAAAATTAAATTAATTTTCCTACATAGCTTTATTACAATGAATAATAATTTTTAAATCTTTGAATATTTAAGAAGTAAAAATCTGTTTTTCACAGTTGTACCATTGAATACCACTGTTATACATGTACTTCTTTTTAATTATTTTTATCAGTAAGTTTTTCTCTTTATTAAAGTTTGTTTATAGTCTATTATATTTTATTTTAATGGGATGCAATTATTTCTCAGGGATTTAATGTGCTTTTTAATTATGATATCAACTCATAAAATTGTTTCTCTTTTTTTATTTGGCCTTTAATTTTTTTATGTATGATTTGTTGTACATCATTCATCATATACAATTTGCTTTATAGCCTTCATTTTTATTGTACTTAAATCTCTCAGTCTTTTGTGGTTTCCTCAACATCCCTCTGACATTAAAAAAACATACACTAAGCCTCTAGTTTATGTCAATAACTGTTCTAGGTATAGGTAATAATTTATTGGAAAAGACAAACAAAGCCTTGCCTTCTTGAAGCTAACATTTTATTCATTGCATTTCACTGATATAATAATCATCATTTCATGTGCATAACAATGAAAAATACAAATAACTTACAATTTTTATAGCTTTTGCTTGTTTTATTTTTAATTGAGAATTTTTTATGTAATGTAATATTACCTTTTTATAAATATGCAAATAATTATTATATAATTCTTAATTTCTGCATGATTTAAAATGCCATATTACTGAGAGGTGTCAATGTGCTAGCAGCCCTCACTGCCTCTCAGCACCTCCTCGGCCTCAGCATCCACTCTGGCCATGCTTCAGGAGCCCTTCAGCCCGCCGCTGCACTGTGGGATCCCCTCTCTGGGCTGGCCAAGGCCAGAGCCTGCTCCCACTGCTTGCAGGGAGGTGTGGAGGGAGAGGCACGGGCAGGAACCGGGGCTGCACCCAGTGCTCATGGACCAGCGCAAGTTCCAGGTGGGCACGGGATCAGCAGGCCTCACACTCAGAGTGGCCAGCTGGCGCCACCAGCCCCGGGCAATGAGGGGCTTAGCACCCGGGCCAGCAGCTGCGGAGGGTGCGCTGGGTTCCCCAGCAGTGCTGGCCCACCTGTGCCGCACTCGAATTCTCGCCGGGCCTTAGCTGTCTCCTTGAGGGGCAGGGCTCAGGACCTGCATCCCGCCATGCCCAAGCCCCTGCCCCGCAGTGGGGCTCCTGCGCATCCCGAGCCTCCCCAGCGGGCACTGCCCCTTGCTCCATGGCACCTGGTCCCATCGACCGCCCAAGGGCTGAGGAATGCGGGCACATGGTGCAGGACTGGCGGGCAGCTCCACCCATGGCCCCGGCGCGGGATCCACTAGGCAAAGCCAGCTGAGCTCCTGAGTCAGTTGGGGACTTGGAGAACTTTTATGTGTAGCTAAAGGTTTGTAAATGCACCAATCAGCACTTCTTGTCTAGCTCAAGGATTGTAAATGCAGCAATCAGCACTCTGTGTCTAGCTTGAGGTTTGTGGATGCACCAATCAGCACTCTGTATCTAGCTAATCTGGTGGGGACTTGGAGAACCTTTATGTCTAGCTAAAGGATTGTAAATACACCAATCACCACTCTGTGTCTAGCTCAAGGTTTGTAAACACACCAATCAGCACCCTGTATCTAGCTCAAGGTTTATAAACACACCAATCAGCATCCTGTGTCTAGCTCAAGGTTTGTAAATGCACCAATCAGTGCTCTGTGTCTAGTTAATCTGGTGAGGACTTGGAGAACTTTTATGTCTAGCTAGAGGATTGTAAACGCACCAATCAGCACTCGGTGTCTAGCTCATAGATTGTAAACGCACCAATCAGCACCCTGTCAAAATGGACCAATCAGCTCTCCGTAAAATGGACCAATCAGCTCTCTGTAAAATGGACCAATCAGCAGGATGTGGGTGGGGCTAGATAAGAGAATAAAAGGCTGCCCGAGCCAGCAGTGGCAATCCACTTAGATCCCCTTGCACAGTGTGGAAGCTTCATTTTTTCACCCTTTGCAATAAATCCTGCTGCTGCTGACTCTTTGGGTCCGCACTGCCTTTACGAGCTGTAACACTCACTGCGAAGGTCTGCAGCTTCACTCCTGAGGCCAGCGAGACCACAAACCCACCAGGAGGAATGAACAACTCCGGACGGAAAAAACAAACAACTCCAGACGCGCCACCTTAAGAGCTGTAACACTCACCACGAAGGTCTGCAGCTTCACTCCTGAAGCCAGCGAGACCACGAACCCACCAGAAGGAAGAAACTCAGAACACGTGTGAACATCAGAAGGAACAAACTCCAGATACACCATCTTTAAGAACTGCAACACTCACCATGAGGGTCCACGGCTTCACTCTTGAAGTCAGTAAGACCAAGAACCCACCAGTTTCGGACACATTACCATACAATAACTCTTAGTTATCCAAAAGTCTATTGTTATTATTTTGTTTAACTTCCAATTTGATTTATTGATCTCTTATTAGTTATTTCTTGTTTGTTTTAGGATCCATCTGTTAAAAGATTTACACTGTACAGTGTATTCCATTGTTCATATAATTATAATAATTTTCCACATACCATAATTTAGTCCATTTATTGAATAATCAGAATAAAGTAACCATTATAAATTTTAAAACGTGGAAAGTGTTTGATTATAAATAATAGCATGGTCTTTTACATGTTCCCCTAAAAGATGAAAGTTACTCTAGCTGTTTCTTGGTAACTTGCTTTAAAAATATTTGCATGTTGCCTAGCACCCAGTTAGCAATAAGCCTCAGATAAAACTTTCATTTAATGATTTATTATATTTTCCACTTAACTCTTCAAGCATCACGCTCCTATGGCCTTTGTAAACAGTAGACATTGCTCTGATCATGAGCTTTAAATGACTTCACATTAGCTACAGAAAAAGGCTTAATATGCTCTCAAAGCTGTTGGTGTCTTCCACAATTTTTTCTTATTGTATTTCTCTAGGCTCATCTCTTATGTTGTCTAACAAAAGTCCTCTATTCTAGCTAGTGTGATCCATGTTGATTATTCAGAGTTACATAAATTCTCCATGCCTATGTCTACCTTCTTTGATGTCTTCTACACTTTAGTCTTGCCTTCTCATTTAAAACAAAGCCTCAACTATTTCTCAATCATTATAAATCCTTATAAATATACTGCAATAATGGAATGATATTGTAACGTAAGTGTTTCAATTCTGGAGAGTTTAGCATATTTTGCTTTTTATCCATCCTTATCATCTACATTTTAAACTTCTTATCCTTCCTCTCATATAACCATCTTCTCAATTCTTTTTCTATGCTAAAATATAAAATATACTTAATCTGATAATGAACTAATTGGCAATAATTAGAAAATATTTATACATTCTTGGCTCATATGTGTCTTCAAACCTTCAATATAATAACAAATACTTTTGGCTTGATCTTCAAATTATATGCAGATTCTGTTTAAGATGTCTGATTTTCAGCTTCTGTTTAAAACATAGAAAGTTGGAAGAATTGTTATTCTTATTAGAAAATAAGAAAAAAATAACAAATTATACCTTTTGCTAAATCTATCAGATAGCTTAGGTCACAGAGTCATCATCAACCAGCCTGAAATCTAAGGAAAGTCAACTGTCTCCATGAGTAACAAGACAGTGGCTTATCTGGGGCAGAGGACAAGTGGAAGATAAGGCTGCCAAACTAAAGTATTCAGTCAAGTGTAGGCCAAATGTGAGTATACCCCCACCCCACAAAGCCTCGGACATCAGGAGAGTTTGCACCTACATGTATGTTCTACTTCATGGACCTCACAATTTGTACACAGAAAAGACTGAGGTAAATGCATGAATCTAAAGAAAGACTCTCTTAGTGATTCAGAAAGGGCTGGAAGCCTTAGCTGTAATCTTCTCTCACATGGAACAAAAGACTCAATCCTCTGGAAGAAAGCCAGCAAACCCTGTCACCCCCAGGACACAGGTAAAGAACCACTGTAGGGCCAGGCACAGTGGCTCACACCTGTAATCCCAGCCCTTTGGGAGGCCGAGGCAGGTGGATCATGAGGTCAAGAGATCGAGACCATCCTGGCCAACATGGTGAAATGCCGTCTCTACTAAAAATACAAAAATTAGCCGGGCGTGGTGGTGGGTGCCTGTAGTCCCAGCTACTCTGGAGGCTGAGGCAGGAGAATTGCTTGAACCAGGGACACAGAGGTTGCAGTGAGCTGAGATCGCACCAGTGCACTCCAGCCTGGTGACAGAGAGAGACTCCATCTTAAAAAAAATAAATAAGTAAAAATAAAAGAGCCACTATAGTTAGAGTAAGGGAACAGGAAAAAACAAACAAAGAAACTCTGTGGGAGGAGCAGGAAAATGTTCTGTTGTTCTGTACCCAGATTAACTATATTCTACACTGGAGAGGGAAACATAATAGAAAAAGCTCTCCATCAAAACCAAGACAGAGGTACACATAGCCTGCCTAAGACTGAGAATGCAAAAGGACAAAAGGGAATGCCCTGCACTCCTCACTAAAAAGCCAGCAAGCAGAAAATATCAAGTGTCAACAGTTTATCTCCAGGGGAGGTGTAAGTGCAAGAAAGTCCAAGATCAAAGGGACAGACTAAAGCTTAGATTGGAACATGGACAGCGAGAAAAACCCCCTAGGAATCCAAATCACACTCTAAGCACAAAGTTAACTAAGAAGAATGTGAAGATAGAGTATAGCAAAACCTACACAAAAATTAATAACTAACTAGATTGACTCAATTACCACAATAAAGGCTTAGCAGAAGAGGGATCCCTATTTCAATGCATAAACAGAATTTACTTCAGTCTGTACTGTTCTACACACAACAGCAAACTTCAAACAACAAACTACAAGACATACAAAATGCAAGGAGGGTGATAGAAGCTGTCAAGATTGGATCATCTTGGTGGTGGCTCTGAATTATGTCCAGTGAAGGCACCCAACCAGAGAAACCAGCCAATAGCATCGCTCTGCAAGAAGCAATATCAAAAAGTCTACCAGGTTAGAGTGTCCAGCCAGCTTCTCCAGCCAGCTTTGGTGTTTTAATTAATATTTCTCTAGTCTGGGACACAAGTGCACATCTGTGAATATCTGTGGAAGAGAACATCTGGCGGCCCCACTCACTCCAGTGCTCAGGTGGTGACTACGCAAAGCTCTGATGCTCTGTATAAGACTTCCTTTGACTGAAGGAATGTGCGTATCTACAAATATCTGAAGAGGGGAGCATCTGGCCCCAGCCATTCCAACTGGCCAAGTAAGAATCCCCCAAATGCCTTACCCAGTTTTAAAGTCCAGCCTACAGTCTTGCCCAACAACAAATTATGAACAGCAGTACTGCCCACCCAGGGAATTTAGCCTGCAACCAGACCCAATTAGAGGTGATCACCTGACCATAAAATCCATAGAATCCAGACAGTGGTATCATTGTGACACAAAGCACAACCAGCAGCTCGACTCAACTTCAGAGCACAGTCAGTGTCCCAGCCCAATCAAAGAACCTGACATTAAGGTCTGCCTATCCATGGTTACTACCAGCTGGCCTATTCAGAATCCCAGGCCAGACCAAATAACAAAGGTCTATCACTGCCAAAAAATACTTGCAAAGACTGGAATATGTGGCCATTATCTGAAATGTGCTGACACCAACACAAATACCCAAGAATTAAGAAGCACCAGGGACATATGACACCATCAGAAGAAACTGATACAGCTCTAATAATAAACCCTAAACAAATAGACATCTATAAAATGACTGACAAAGAATTCAGAATAATCATCCTAAGGGAGTACAGGTAAATATGTATGTGTGTGTATATATATATATACACATATATATATAATATATATATTATATATAAACATATATTATATATATTTATATATTATATATAAACATATATTATATATATATTTATATATTATATATAAACATATATTATATATATATTTATATATTTATATAAATATATATTTATATATATTTATATAAATATATATTTATATATATTTATATATATTATATATATTTATATATTTATATATATTATATATATTTATATATATTATATATATATTATATATATTTATATATATTATATATATATTATATATATTTATATATTTATATATATTATATATATTTATATATTTATATATAATATATATAGTATATTTGTTTATTATATATATATTTGTTTATTATATATATTATATATAAACATATATAATATATAGTTTATATATAATATATAAATTATATATATTTATATAATATGTAATATATATAACATATAGTTTATATATAGTTTATATATATAAACTATATATTATATATATTATATATAATATATAAACTATATATGATATATATTATATAATATATAAACTATATACTATATATTATTATATATAATATATAAACATATATTATATATATATTTATATATTATATATAAACATATATTATATATATATTTATATATTTATATAAATATATATTTATATATATTTATATAAATATATATTTATATATATTTATATATATTATATATATTTATATATTTATATATATTATATATATTTATATATATTATATATATATTATATATATTTATATATATTATATATATATTATATATATTTATATATTTATATATATTATATATATTTATATATTTATATATAATATATATAGTATATTTGTTTATTATATATATATTTGTTTATTATATATATTATATATAAACATATATAATATATAGTTTATATATAATATATAAATTATATATATTTATATAATATGTAATATATATAACATATAGTTTATATATAGTTTATATATATAAACTATATATTATATATATTATATATAATATATAAACTATATATGATATATATTATATAATATATAAACTATATACTATATATTATTATATATAATATATAAACTATATATTATATATTATTATATATAATATATATAAACTATATATTATATATTATTATATATAATATATATAAACTATATATTATATATTATTATATATAATATATATAAACTATATATTATATATATTTCTATTTCTTTGGAATAAGATGTATAAATAAAATTTAAAATTTGACAAAAAATAAAAATTTCTATATAAAAAATTTATATAGAAATTTTAGAAATAAAGATTACAATAATTGAACTGAAAAATTTAATATAAACCTTCAACAGCAAACTTTACCAACAGGAAAAGAAGATCAGTATGCTTGAAGACTGAACATTTGAAATTATAAAGAGGAGAAAATCAAAAAAAATTGAAGTAATAAAGCAGGCATATAGGAATCATGGGACATCATCAAGAGAACTAACCTTTGCAGAAAGGAAGCACAGAAGAATTTTTAAAAGTTCTAGAAACTATATTTAAGGAATTAATGGCTGTAAATTTCCCAAATCTGAGAAAAGATGCATACATTCAGATATGAGAAGATCAGAGATCTCTAATTAAATTTAATCCAAAGAGAAATTCACCAACATGCACAATATTCAAACTATCAAAATTCAAGTAAAATAAGGAATTCTGAAGGCAGTAAGTGAAAAGAAACATATAACATACAAAGGAGTTTCAATATGACTGTCATCATATTTCTAAACAGAAACCCTGCAGGCTACAAGAGAGTGGAAGGATATATTTAAAATGATGAAGAAAAATTTTAAAAATCTGCCCACCAAGAATACTTTACCTAGCAAAACTATCTTTCAGAAATGAGAGATAAATAAATACTTTTCCAGACAAACAAAAGCTAAGAGATTTCATCACTACTAGGTCAGCCCTAGAGAAACTGCTAAAGGGATTTATTTAAGTTGAGACGAAGGGCTACTAATTAATAACATAAAACACATGAAGGCAAATAACTCAATAAATAATAAAGAGTCATAGTTGAAATTCTCTAATATTAAAAAGTGGTGTATAAAGCAATTTTATCTATGATGTGAGGGTTATAAGACAAAATTACTAAAAACAACTTTAGCTACAATGAATTGTTAAGTGCTACCAATTACACAAAGGATAGAACAGGATGTCTGGCTTCCAAGTGGGAACCTTTGCAGTGCAAGGAATAAAAGACAGAATTAAATATGAGTGATGTTGAGAAAGGCAAAAAGATTTTTATTCAGAAGTGTGTCCAGTGGCACACCATGGAAAAGGAAGGCAAGCAGAGACTGGGCTAAATCTCCATGGTCTCTGGGCAGAAGACAGGTCAGGTCATTGGATTCTCTTACACAGATTCCAATAAGAACAAAGGCATCACCTGAGGAGAGGATACACTGAAAGAGTATTTGGAGAATCTCAAGAAGTACATCCCTGGAACAAAATGATGATATTTTTTGGCACTAAGAAGGCAGAAAGGGCAGACTTGATCACTTATCTTGGAAAAAGCTACTAATGAGTAATAAATTGTCACTGACTTATTAGAAAAGAGAAATGTCTCATGACCTTTTTATATGTACCATAATTTAATAGATCTCATACACCAGAATTCAGATCATAAATGACTGACAGAATATTTTTTGTTGGGTAGTCCTGATATAACTAAGACCGGCTTGTGGTTAAATGAATTGGTTTTTTTGTTTAAATTTTAATAGTAATCCTGATTCTGTAAATGCTGTCACTATTTACTCCTTCTAAAGACATAATTGGACTTCATTAGTAATGTTCAACTTTTTACAAAGATGGCAAATTATTGGAGATTGATTTTATATTTATATTTAGACTTATATAACTGGCTATGTGAATATATTTAAATACTGGGGAAATTCCTTCACTGTCTCAGAGCGAAGCAAGATTCAACTGTTTTGCGTTCATTTGTGTCTTAAAGGCAAGGGCTAAAGATAAGGTGGCAAATGTCTACTTTATGTTTTTGGTCTTAACTGTGCCAATGTAATTAGAATTCCCTGTATCTAAAATGGTTCCTTTTACTTATTGAAAGGCATTTTAGTGTGGTTTCTGTGTAATATCAAATAAAGATTATTTAACACTTCTCACATTTTATCGATCATCTGTAAGGTCAAATGCTTTAAAAAATAGCAAGGTAAATGTCACTCTTGAATTCTTTACTATCTAAGTCAGACTAAGTTATAATTTAGGACTGTCTTTAAACAGCCATTCAGAAACATAAAACTGTAGAACTGCTGTGTATTTACGACTGGGAATGGTACTTTTGCCAAATGAAAAGGATCAAAGTAGAGGAGATATACACAAATTTAAAAATTATGTGTGCTCATAAGACAATTAAAAACAAAATTACAGATAAAAACAAAGTATACAAAGATGTAAATTTTTATATCTAATCATAAAATGTTAGAGGGAGCAATGAAAGTATAGAGTTTTTATGTGATTAAAATTAAGCTATTATCAACTTACACAGCCTCTTATAAGTATAAAATGATTTATGTAAGCCTCATGGTAACCACAAAGCAAACCCTGTAATAGTTGCATAAACATTAAAAGAAAGAATCCAAAGCGTAACTGCATAGAAAACCATCAAACCTCAAAAGAAGATAGGAAGAAACAAAGCATCTACAAAATAACCAAAAAGCAAATTACCAAATGGCAGTAGCCTGTCCTTACCTATTAATAATTACCCTGGACATAAATGAATTAAATTCTCCAATCCTAAGACATAGAGTGACTGAATGTATTTTTAGAAAAGAAGATCCAACTTATGTCCCTACAAGAATACACATAGGTTGAAAGTAAAGAGTTGGAAAAAGACATTCTGCAAATTGAGCACCAAAAAAGAGCAGGAGTAGCTACACTTATAACAGACAAAATAAACTTTTAAGATAAAAACTGTAAAAAGAGACAAAGAATATTATTATCTAATAATAAAGAGAACATATTATTGAGAACATAATTGTAAATATGTATATGCATACAAAATATATAAAGAACCTAATGTATAAAGCAATTATTAAATAATCAGAAGAAAGAGAAAGACTACAATACAGTAATAGGAAACTTCAGTATCCCTCCTCGAACAATAGAGAGATCATCTACACAGAACATCACTAAAGAAACATTGAACTTGAATTCTACTTTAGATCAAATGGGCCTAAAAGACATAAACAGTATATTACATCCAACAGCAACAGAATACATTTTTTCTAGTCCACATATAACCTTCTCCATGATAGATAATATGTTAGGCCAAAAAACAAGTCTTTACAAATTTAAGATTAAAAAGTATCTCATATCTTTCCCAATCACAATGGTATTAAAGTAGAAATTAATAAAAGAAGAAATCTAGGTAAATTCACACATATGTGGAAATTAAACAACAGGCTTCTGAAAAAAATAGGTTAAAGAATTAAAAGGGATGGCAAAAAGTACCTTGAGACTGATGAAAATGGAAACATTATATACCACATTTATGAGATGTAGCAAAAGCAGTTTCAAGAGAAAAGTATGTATCAATAAATGCCTATATCAGAAAAAAAGAAAAAGTAATCTAAAGATAGACCTCAAAGAATTAGAAAAAGAACTAAGTCTAACGATAGCAAAAAAGAGAAAATAACAAAGATCTATGCAGAAATAAATGAACTAGAGACTACAACAATATAAAAAAATCAGTGAAAGAAAGACTTGGTTCTTTGAAAAGATGAAATTGACAAACACTGAACTAAACTAAGAAAAGAAGAAAGAAGACTCTAATAAATAAAATGAAAGAGGAGATATTGCAAAAGATGTAACAGAAATACAAAGAATTACAAGACACTACTCTGAACAATTCTACACCAACAAATTGTATTACCTACCTAGAAGAAACAGATAAATTTCTAGACACATACAATATACTAAGACCCAAACAAGTAGAAATAGAAAATCTGAATAGATAAATTACAAACAAGGAAACTGAATTAGTTTTAAAAACCTCCCATCAAAATAAGTCCCGGTCCTGTTGGCTTCACAGCTGAACTATACACACATTTAAAGGAGTCTTAATACCGATCTTTCTCAAACTCTTTCAAAAAATTGAAGTGAAGGGGATATTTCCAAACTTATTTATGAAGCTAGCATTACCCTGATACCAAAGCCAGACAGGACAATCCACAAAAAAGAAAATTACAGGACAATATCCCTGATGAGCATAGATGTAAAATTTCTTGACAAAATACTTGGCAACTGAATTCAACAATACAATAAAATAAACATTCATCATTATCAACTGGGATTTAACCCTTAGATGCAAAAAGGTTCCAACATATGTGGATCAGTAAATGTGGTGCACCACATTAATAGAATGAAGATTTAAAATTTTATAATCATCTTTATAGTTGTAAAAAAAGTACTTAGCAAAATTCAATAGGCTTTCACAAAAAATCTCAATAGATTAAGTAAGAGGGAGTGTACTTCAACACAATAAAGGCTATATATGACAAGCCCAAAGCTAATGCCATTCTAAACAGTGAAAAGTTGATAGATTTTTCTCTAAAATCAGGAATAAAACAAGAATGCCCTGTCTCACCACTTCTATTCAACCTAGTAATGGAAGCTCTAAACAGAGGAGTTAGGCAAGAGGAAGATATCAAAGACATCCAAGTAGTGAAGGAAAAAAGTGAAATTGTCTCTGTTTCCGGACAACATGATCTTATATACAGGAAACCCTAGAGATTACATGTACACACACAAACACATACACACACAACTGTTATAACTAATAAATTAATTTAGTAAAGATGCAGGATACAAAGTCAACAAGAAAAAAATCAGAGGTGTTTCTATAAGCTAATAATAGACTATCTAAAGAGAAAATTAAGAAAACAATTCAATTTACAATGGCAACAAAATATAAAATATTTGGACATAAATTTAACAAGGAAAATGAAAAATCCATACACTGAGAATTATAAAACACTGGTGAAAGAAATGGAGGAAAACACAAATAAATGGAAATATATCCTGTGTTCATGAATTGAAAGAATTGATATTATATAAATGTCCATACTACCCAAAGTGATCTACAGATTCAATACAACCTTATCAAAATTTCAATGTCATTTTTCACAGAAATCGAAGAAAATCCTAGAATTTATATGGAACCACTAAAGATACAAAATAGCCAAAACAATCTTGAGCAAGAGGAACAAATTTGGAGGCATCACACTTCCTTATTTCAAAATATATTATAAAGCTACTTAAAACAACATAGTACTGGAATAAAAACAGTCACATTGGCCAATGAAGCAGATGAGCCCAGAAAAAAAGTCATAAACTCATGTATTTTTGCACAATTATATTTTGACAAAGGTACCAAGAACACACAATGAGAAAAGGATAGTTTATTCAATAAATGGTGCTAGGAAAACCAGATGTCCACATGCAGAAGAATGGCATTGCATCTGTATCTTATACCTTATAAATAAATCAACTCAAAATGGGATACGGACTTAAATATAATATCTGAAACTATAAAACTACTGGAAGAAAACAAGGAAATAGTTTGTTGAAGTTGGTTTGGGCAATGATTTTTTGGATATGACCCAAAAAGCACAAGCAAAAAAAAAGGACAAATAAGATTCCATCCCACTTAACAAAACTGCCATTGAAATAACTGAGATTTCAGAATGTGGCTGGAGATGACTAATGCTCCAAATGGAGTTATCAAATTATTGAGTATGCTCCTCATCAGTTACATTTTACATTCAGCTTTTCTTCACAGGCATTTTTACTTTATGTTAGGTAATTATTTTTATCAGTTTTGCCATATTTTCAAAGGAATAAAATAAAAAGAAAAATCAAATTTTTTAAAAGTCTAAATTTAATGATTTCTGATGAATATTTATAAAATGTTGATTTGATTTTTAGTATCCTCAGCTCTTTATGTTAACTCTGAAAATCTTGGTCTAATCTTGGTATACCAAAATCAAGGATTAAGAAAAAGAGATATTTTTTTCCTCAAACACTTTGAAAGCAAAATGAAATTTAGAAACATGACAGAACAGTGGAAATGCACTAAATATAATGTTGTCCTAAAATAAGGGTTAAGAGGTCAAAATTGCAATAGTTTTACATAAGCAAGATAATTTATGTTGCAGTGATGAAACATTCAACTAAGAATTTAGAATAGTCTCAGTGTGGCAGAAGCCACACTAATAGAATGGTTAGATATAAGAAAATGTATCTTATGTGCCAGTTTAGATCAATTTTTATTCTTAAGCGATGTCATTGTTATATGAGAAAAAAATAATAAACTAGTGATGTCAGTTTTAAATGAGAGGAATTTGTGGCACACATACTATGTATTTATTCCTGTTTTTCTAATGTCTATTTTTTTCTAGGTTTCCTTATGACGTTTAGTGGTAAATAAACAAGACTGGGAATTTTCTTCATAGAGATGAAAAAATAATGTCTACACGTGGGAACAGAAATAGTGTACATATGGGAAAAGGAACTGCTGACAATTTTTATAGGCATGTCATAGGACTGAAACAAGAGAACTTTGAACAAATTCTGATTCATGAAGGTAGTGGAGACTAATGAGTCTGCTTTAAAGCAAGTGTATGCGTCAGTTTCAGTTATCTGTTTCTAAAGAATAAGCCACCTCAAAACCTGGTGAATTGGAACAACCATTTATTTGCTAGAGAGTCTACAGTATAACAACTTGATCTGGGCTCAGGTAGCTAGTTGTTATGTTGGTCCCAGCTGGGGTCACCTTAAGTGGTTGCAGTCATCTGATGGCTCCATTTGGACTGGATGGGGTACGATGGTCTCACTCACATGTCCAATAGTGTGTGCTGTCTTGTACAACTCTATGTGTCCCTCTGTCCCCCAGTAAACCAAACTAGCATTTTTACATGGCATCATAAGGACAATGTTTCACAAAGGCAAATGCAGAAGCTGCAAGTTTTCATATGCCCTAAGTTCCAGAGTTCATATAATTGTTACTTCCATGATATTTTATGGGTCAATCCAAATCCCCAAGGCTAATCAAGATTCAATGGGTGGGAGAATAGATTCCACTTTTTGATGTAATGAATTGCAAAATACCATATCCATTGAAATCTACCACAGGGGTTGTTGCATTTCTTGCAATTTTCAAACACAAAAATTATTTACAAAAATAATTTTCATGAGACTAGAGAAGAAAATTATTGATTAAAGTATTGATAATATTAAGAAAGCACAAGGGAACATGTACTTTATAAGGGAACTTAATTGTAAGATTTATGTCTTATTATCTTATCATTCATGTAGAAGAGTACTTGTCATCTAGTAAGTGAGAAATAAAGTTTTGTTTTATAATAAATAGATTTAAAATATTTGAAGTCGGTTATGAGTAAAAAGGATTTTCAAATTTTTTCTATACCTTTAGGTCTAAGAAACAAGTTAACTATAAAATGATAGGACATATATTTGAAATGAGCAGTTTGGGACCTAGATATGGTGATGTTTTAATCAAATGAGCAAGAGAGCCTTATGTGCATCAGTGTGTTACCAATGTTAAAAGCAAAGAACTACAAATTGGATAAAAATTGCCACAGCATACTTTCCGATTTTATAGCAGCATCCACATTAACATGGAAAATGTAAAGGCATTTATGGACTATTTGCACTTCTATGTAAAACGTCTCATAATAATCACATATTTATGGCTAAGCACATTTTAAATCTATAGAACTTTTAAATAAGTTGCAGGTTCTACAAATATTTCTAATGGGGGTTTTGCCACCTGGAATTCAAATTTCAAATCAAGTATTGCAAACTTAGTGGCTCATTATAAATGGACAGAATTGTAGGTTTGTATTTACCATCTTGACAGGATAACTAGCAATGACAAGAGACAAAACATCAAGTGTACTAATTAATGATCACTTTAAATCTTTTTGAGGAAAATAAAATTAGTATATTTTCAGGTACTTTAAAAATATTATTGTCAGGTAAAATTGCAGCTTGTCAATTGTGATGAAAATTTAGTTAAATGTATCTTCAGGATTTTAAAGGAGTCTATCATGTTATCAAGAAATTATATAGGACTACAAGCTAATTAGAAATATGATTAATATAAAAATGTGCATCACTGATTTCAAAAATCTTAGAAATCAATAAAGCATAGCAAATTGAAAACATTAAACTGTATAATTTGAATAATTTACAGAAAACTTTTTTTTTTCAAGTACTTCAATGAAGTGCAAACAAGCCCCCTTGAAATTAAGGCACCATCCCTAATATGAATTAGCAATAAAATGCATATCTTTGCTCTTATCCCAACACTATCAGTTAACATAGATACTCTTTACTTTCTGCAAAATTTTTACAGCAGATTAGAGTTAATAGAATAATTGTATTGTATCTTTCCCCTCAAACAACTGCCATTACCAAGCAAATATAAGTGGCCACTCAGTGGTTTCTGAAGCTTTCAATACAATGTTTCTTTAAGGTTCCCCTTCTCATCGTCTCAAGAACCACAGTTCCTATAACGCAGCAAACAAATTTTCTTGCACTCCTTCTAACAGTAAAAATCAATTTTCCTTGCCTTGATATTTGCGTGGAACCCATTAGGAGGCCTTCCTGTCACATGTTCTTTAACATAAATCCTGGCCTGACACATATCCTCGCAACCCTGATCTCAAAATCTATTTCCTCTGGAGACATGTACTACATAAACTGTGTTACTTTGTAGATATCTCAAACAGTTATTGGAACAAATTGTGAAAGTTAAATAAAAATTATCACCTTATACATTTTCTTAATTCTGTTTGCATAAAAGGAAAGCAATTATTTCAGAAATTGTTGCTTGTAATTCTCTTGTAAACTTTTTAATGAGTGTAGACTTACTCTCTTAATAATTAAGAACATAAAAAAGTAAATACATTATACATGTGTAAATATGTTTAAAGTAAATTTCAGAAAAATAATGCTCTCATAAATAAGATTGACAATAAATATGAATTTATATTGAATTTAACATGTTAGGAGTTATGCAAAGAAAAGGTAGGTGATATATGATCTATTCTTAACACATTATTAGTGCTATTCATATGAAAGCACTGAATTGAAAAAATAAGGAATGAAAATAATTATCGATTTCTAATTCTCAGCTATATCCAATCCAATATCTAAAGCAGTATTTTATAGCAAAACTGTATAAAATATTAAATCATTACAGCAAGGTCATGTAACTCTTTTCTACCTCCCAAACTCTCTCTCATTCAGAATCTCCCCTTTATTTACTTTGGCATGCATATTCTCACCATAATTTTTAACACCAAATAGTAATAAGGACAGCTTACAAACGCTAATACACCCCCCAAAATAATAATATATAGAAATAATGGGCGAAGTAGAGTGGGAAAAATGTAAAGAAGGATGGACACTCTCAATTGTCTAAATAACTTCTATTTCATCTATCTACCTTTGAATTTCTTTTCTGTTCAAGTTCATTCTCTATCCCATGTGACTGAGGGGAAGGTGACCTTTGCTTCTTACCCCAGAAGGGTAATCTGATATATCCCAAGCTAAGCTCAGAACTCTCCTTTCCTTAACCACTGTGTTCTCGCAGTAGGGTATTTCACCTATTTCTGGCCAATGACATGCAAAGAGGAGTCTATGAAGGCCTCTGGCAATACTTTCCCTTAATTTTTCTCAGAACACAGCTAAATATGGTACCTGGAACGGCTGCATATTCCCCATTACCAGACTTAGGGAGAAGGGCAAAACCAAAATGACTGCAGAAATGTGAACTATGCCTGAACGCTACACTTGCTCTGGACTTCTGTTATGCAATATACCATTTTTCTCACTGTTTCAATCCCATTGAGAAAGGAATCTTGTTTGTTATGTACAATAGATGGCATTTTAACTGATACAAATTAGTAACCCAATAATTCCAAGTAACTTTGTAGATTTCTTTCTTTTTAAAATCATAGTGGCAAGAGTCCCAGGAATATATTCTTGAAAATTAAAACCCTCCAAAGTGTCCCTACTGTTTCTGACTGTTCCCAAATAGGTTTTTCATATGTGGATCCATACATCACTCTTTCAACTATAGCTACTGCACAGTCTCTGCTCTATTCTTGTTCTTTTGCTCTGTCTTCTGATTATCCAACTCCTCTTCCCACTATTCAGAGAAGCCTCAACATTGGTGGTGCTCATCAGAAAAATAAATAATATTCATGCAAAGTTGGCTATCACCAAACATTGACAAATATTTTTAAGATTCTGGCTGCATTGTTGTTTTCTGCACAGAGAGGCAAAACATGCTATCCCTAGTTCTGTACAACACATGTTTTCCTTGTTCCCAATGCAGTTTTGACTTTGCCCAAAATTACTCGACACATTTCTGCCTTTAACTCCTCCTTCATTCAGGGCTCAAAAACAGGCCATGCAGGGAAACAGAATGCATCATATCACTGCTATTATTATCTCATCTCTCTCCGTTTCTTAACAGAAAGGAAAAGTTTCAATGAATTCAAGCAGACATTGTGGAGGGCTGGTTTTTGTGGCAGTGAATGGACTCCAGCCTAACCTGCTTTGTTACAAAGACAAGAAAAATAGACTTCATGGCTGGATGTTTTTCCCATTAAAATAGCTATTTACTTTTTCTTATTTTTTACAAAAACTGCTTGTTCAAGTACTACAGGCAATTTCCAAACGTTTCTTTAATTTAATTAGATTTTTTAAACACTCAAAATAGCAACCCTCCTGGGGATAATTCGAATTTAAGACACATTCTGAGTCAAAACCTGCCCACAAACTTTATGTTTATTGATCTAAAATGGCAATAACAACTGAAATATTATAATTTCACTTAGCCTGCTAAGTTACTTTTTATGACTTGTGTCAATTATCGTCACAGCATAGCAACTAAATATCACCCCATAGCAACTAAGTATCAGAATATTTATGGACTAATCCCAGATGAAAACATATGTTGTCTGGGATGACTAAATGACAGAGACTGCAAACTTACTATTTATATGGATATGCAAATAACATAAATGAGTGGGCCATATAGGGTGGCTTGGGACAAAATAGGAAGCATATACCTGGTCTGGAAGCACGTGTTCCTCTAAAAGGGCTACCAATCCTCAGCTTCATGGCTGAAAGGTAGAAATATATATTATCATACCTTCTGGTTTTTCAAGATAAGCTGGAATTCAAGGTTTCTATGTAAAATCTTTAAGTATTTCAATATTGACTACTTTTTCAAAATGTATCAAAACACTATATAGAAATACAAATTAAAACCACAGTGAGGCAAGGTGTGCTGGTTCACTCCTGTAATCTCAGCACTTTGGGAGGCAGAGGCAAGCGGATCACCTGAGGTCAGAAGTTTGAGACCAGCCTGGCTAAACATGGTAAAAACCTGTCTCTACTAAAAATACAAAAATTAGTTGGGTGTGGTGGCGGGTGCTTGTAATTCCAGCTACTTGGGAAGCTGAGGCAGGAGAATCACTTAAACATGAGAAGTGGAAGTTGCAGTGAGCCGAGATTGCAACATTGCACCCCAGCCTGAGCAACAAGAGCGAAACTCCGTCTCAAAAAAAAAAAAAAAAAAAAAAAAAAAAAAAGAAAAAGAAACAAGGAACCCTCATACATTGCTGGAAAAAAAATGTAAAAGGGTGAAACCACTGTGGAAAACAGTTTGGAGATTCTCCTCCAAATTAAACATAGAATTACCATTGATCTAGCAATTTTGCTTCGAGGTACATACTGAGAAGAATTGAAAGCAGAGGAAGGGACTTGAAAAGATATTTGCAGACCAATATTCAGAACAGAATTACTCACAAAATAGTCACAAGGTGGCAACAACCCAAATATCCATGAACAGATGAATAAACAAAATATGACATGTACATACAATGAAATATTATTCAGCAACATTAAAAAAAGAAGGAAGTTATGATATATACTACAACATATATGAACCTTGAAAGCATTATTCTAAGCAGAATAAGCCAGACACAAAAGAACAAATGTTGCATGATTCCACTTATTTGAGGTACCCAGAGCAGTTAAATTCATAGAGACAAAAAGCAGATAGTGGTTACCAGGAGCTGGGGGGAGGAAGAGATGGAAATTATTATTTGGTGAGTAAATTTTAATTTGGGATGATGAAAAGGTTGTGGAGTTAGATAGTGATGTGGTTACACAACAATATGAATGTACTTAATGTCACTGAATAGTACACTTAAAATTATTATAATGGTAAGCTTATGTCGCTATGCTTATTTTACCATTAAAAACAAACCCTTATGTGGACCTATTAAAGTATATCTGCAGGTCGGAGTTAGTCTAGGGTTTTCAGGTTACGTACTCTGCTTTAGCCGTCAGTCTTCAGGAAAATCACTCAGGCTTCAAGGGTCTTAAGACAGTGGAAAGGCTGACTTCCAGCATGACAATGAAGCACTAAAATTGCTAGAGACGTCAACCTCCTAACTGTTTTATAAATTTCCATGAGAATATCCAAATACTAAGGGAAAAAAAACCTTAAGTAAAGTATTTTATAGAATTAAAGTATTTTACAGAATTTTATCAGTTTTTTCCCAAATCCTCAATAATTAGAAAAGTCAATTAGGTAATTATAACATAACTAGGATCCTTATCGTTGACTTACACCATAAGAATGGACAAGAACGTAAATAAGATGAGTCTGACTTGCTTAACAAAAATTTCTAATTCAAGGAAATAGGAAAAAAGCCAACCTGAAAAATGGAGCCATTATTAACCTTGGACACACAAATATAGAAAGGCTTTCCAAAGAAAAATTAAATCCCTAGTCCTCTATTTTGCCTCTATGCCTTAGAATTCTCAAAGATACTTTAAGCCTATTCTATACTGCCGTTTTCCAAATTAGAACTCCTTGGAAAGGGAATTCTTGTTTCCACTGCAGAACCCAGAAAAGATCTCTGTATATAAAAATGGGAAGCTCTAAATGGCGTCTCACATTTAGAAGGAGAAAAAGTAGTTACTGAATATCTGGTTTGTGTCATCCACGGTATTGGGCATTAACTCACTACCTGTCTTTCATCTTCAAAAGAGTGAAGCAAAACCTGACAGCACCTAGCCAAAATTAAATGAGGGTCCTTTTTTTCCTGTTCTTCAACATTGCATTTGCATAGGTGTCTCTTTGTTAAAGATAAGGAAAGAAAAGACAAAAATAGTGACACATGACATAAGAATGTTACCAATTGCATAAGAATGTTAATGCCTTAAACACTCAAGGAGCAAAGTTTATAATTAAAGTAATGTATAACAGATCAAAGTGTTAATAAAAATTTATTTAAGGCTTCAGAAAATGTAATAGCAATAACTTTTTTAGGAAAAAAATTATTCTATACTGTTTTTACAATTACCATGAGATAAATATAAGGCAAGAATGGATAAAATTTAGCTGTAAAGGTTGTGGAGAAAGAAAAGAAATGGTGCAACATGCATTTAAGTGAGATATTATCCAAGGCAATTTGATTTAAAAAATGACATGTGTGATTTAAACCATATAGTGTTCTGCAATAATTCTGATGTAACTAAAAGATATTGGGACAATTTAGCAAACATCATGAGGAAGTTAAGCCAGACAACCAGGATACTTTTTATACCTACCTATCTCAAAGCTAGTTCTAGTGTGTATAGGAGCGATACTAGACTCTGGAAATATTGATTTCTATGCCTTCTCTCACTCCTGATGTTGGTCAGGTTTTTCAGTTTTGAAGGTTACTATCCTTCTAGTATCCCTGGGATATATTAAGGTCAACAACAGATTCCATAGTGAAGCCAGATCTCTCCAACAGAAAGAATAATTACTTCAATCCTCCACAACCCATCTGTGGACAATTAATTTAACACCTTTGACACCCAGTTTCTTTAATCAGAAGACTGTGTTAGTGAGAACAAATTATCAAAGAAGATAACATGAATTTCACTATTATTCCCTTTCCCACCCTTATTTTTAGGTCAAGGTATTTCTTACAGTTGAAAGTTGCTGTATTGTATGATTCAGTAATCTACCAGAGCAATGGTAACCACATTTCTCCAGACTCACCTGTCTGCTAGAGCAGGCATCCCCAACCCCTGGGCCATGGATCAGTATCTGTCCATGGACTCTAAGGAACTGGGCCACATAGCAGGAGGCTAGTGGCAGACCACTGAGCAAAGCTTATCTGTATTTACAGCCACTCCTGATCATTTACATTATCTCATCTGTATTTACAGCCTCTCCCCATCGCTTGCATTACCACCTGAGCCCCACCTCTCGTCAGATCAGCAGCAGCATTAGATTTTCACAGAAGCATGAACCCTATTGTGAATTGCACATATAAGGGATCTAGGTTGCATGCTCCTTATGAAAATCTAATATTTGATGATCTGTCACTGTCTCCCATCACCTTCAGATGAGACTGTCTAGTTGCAGGAAAATGAGATCAGGGCTTCCATTGATTCCACATTATGGCACAATGTATAATTATTTCATTATATATAAATTATATATACAAATTATCATATATAATAAAAATAAAGTGCAAAATAAATGTAATGCACTTTGAATCACCCCAAAATCATCCCCTCCCATGCCACCTGGGTTTGTGAAAAAATTTTCCTCCATAAAACCAGTCTCCAGTGCCAAAAAGGTTGGGGACTGCTGTGCTAGAGAATCTGTTGTACTCCCACTCACCATGGGAAAGACATGCAGTTACCGAGTCAAATGTTGACAGTGTTTCTCAGAGAGGCAGCCAACACCCAGAGCAATGGCCTCACTCCCTGACATAGCACTAGGAACCTTTTTTAGCTGATGGAAGGAGAAGCCACTATTGGACAGCTTCTACACTTGATTAACTTGATTGGTTAAAGTGTTATTCACACAGTACATTCACGTTTATATTAAAGAGAAAGCATAGCTGCAAATTCAGATTAGAAAAGCGCCCCAACAATCATGAGTAATATACACAGTAACTATGTTCCTAGTGTAAACACTTTTAAAAAATCACTTAAACTGCCTTCATTAATAAAGAAATGATTAATTTTGAAAAATATATATACACAAGGTAACCTAAAATGAAAATGCAAAAAAGAAACCCAAACATAGACTTATGAAAAAGGTGTAAAGCCTCATTTTAAGTTGATTCAATGTAAAATTATTTTCTCTATAAAGTACAGCTAAAATAAGTACACAAATTTTAATATAATAACTAGGAAAGCATAAAAATGTTTCTAAAAAGGAGTGAGGATAAACAAAAATGAAATTTTGAACTACTAGATTGTTTCAAGAGATAATAAATCCTAGTCCACCAGCAAAAGAGAAAAACAAACAAAACCATAAGAAGGCAACATTAGAGAAATTATGATAATTAAGTGACAAAGGCTAAGCCAAGGATAACATTACAAAAGTGAATATAAATGTTTTAAAATGTCTCTATTAAAAAAACAAATACTAAGGGTTTGAATTTTAAAAGAGCACAATACAATGATGTCTCTTTAGAAAGACATATCTAAAAATAAAATAATCTTAAAAATAGACAAAAGCTGGTTAGTTAAATGTAAACTAAAAGGAAAGCTGAGCGGCAAGGGGTGCGTGAGCCAGCAAGATCAGGGTGCGGTCAATGGGCACAGTCAGGCGCACTAGCTGGGCTGGAGGAGAAGCTCCAGGCACCGGCACAGGCGCTGGCTGTGTGGAAGGCTGCGGCTGAACCAGCCATACCAAAAGCAGCTTCTGCTGCTGGCACAGGGAAACATGGCGGTGCCTGAAAGCTTGGAGACGCTAGTAACCGCAGAGCCCCCCAAGAGAGTTACAGCTTGTCACAGCCTAGGCTTAGGGAGCCCCGAGTTCTGGGCCTCCAGTAGGGCCGCAGCTCTTCTCTCCTTGTAGCCCAGTGTGGCGAGAGGCGGGTGGGGAGGTGGGGCATGGTGCAGCCCGTTTGTGTTACAGCTCCTTCAATTCTGCCACCCCTGGGCTGGCCCAGCCCTGCCACTGCTTCCTGTCATGTGGGGCAGCTGCCCAGCCTAGGCAAAGAGCAGGAGACCTATAGTGTTACAGTATCTCTGGCTAGGGGAATCCCAAGGTCTGGACCCCCAGGAGGGTCACCACCCTTTACTCCCGCAGTCCAGGAGTGTGTCACCATCTGCAGCTTGGTGAGCTGGCCAGGAACATGTTACAGCTCCTTTTGCTCTGGCCGTTTGGTGGGTCCTGAGTTCTTTTCCCGCATCCTGGAAGAATGAAGTTACGTGTACAATTGGGCGTGAGCAAGGCAGAGAGGAGCTTTACTGAGTAACAGAACAGCTCTCAGGACACCCTAACGGATCCTTACCATAGGCAGGTCATCCCGAAGAGTGTGTGTACGAATCCAGGGATTTTTATGGACTCAGAATAGAGGAAGTGCATGCTGATTGGTCCATGGGCGGTCATGGGTGGGCCTGGAAAAAGCACCATCCGATTGGCCGAAAGGCATCAGTGAAGTTCTCACTCTGGGTCCTGGACTCCACAAGGAACTGACAGTTCGGCCTGCAGGCTTCAGGCCATCCCTCGCTTGAAGGTGGGGTTTCACTGGGGACCCGCCCCTTCCCGCCCAGGAACCTGTCTGCCTCCTGTTACCATCAACATGCGGTTTATGACGCTCAGGCTGTCTGTGCTGTGGGGCACCTGTAGGTCTGTGCTGAGCTGCCTTCAGCTCCCCTGCCCTTCAGCTCCCCCGCCCTTCAGCTCCCCCACTTCCTTCCCACGCTTGTTGGCACCCAAAATCTGGAGGAAGCGAAGGCAGCAGGAGGCCGGCCTGGGCCTGTCAGTGCCGCCCTGAGCATGCGCACACCTTGCTGGGTTGCTACAGTGCCTGGGCTCTGACACAATTTTGCTCTGCACCAGGTCGGGTGCCAGGGAGCAGGGAGAGGTCGGGGAGCGGAAGCAGACACTTCTGAGCCTGTGGAAGAAGGGGGCTTCCTGGGGCCCCGAGAGTGCGGGGATGCCCAGGTTCAGAGCTGCAGCTGCGCCCAGGAGGGCGGGCTGCTGCCCCAACAACTCGGTAGGGCTTGGAGCTTCTGCTGGAATCACCTATTCCCAGTCCGCACTGGCTCTGTGGAGTGCACAGCACTGGCTATGCCTCCCCCGCTGCAGCTAGCGTCCTCACAGTGGCCACCACTGCCATCAAGGAGCCCAGGGGAATAAAGCACTTAGGGCACATAGCACCTGCTCCTAGAATTAAATGTTCTACAAGCCCAGCTGCTGCAACTGCCTGAAACCAGTTTTATCTAATACCTACTGAAACAATCTGCTGTGACTCTTTTTATTTTTTGGGGGGGGTGGGCGAGGTTGGGAGGGTTGGGGTGGGGACCAAGTTTTGTTCTTGTTGCCCAGGTTGGAGTTCAATTGCGTGATCTCGGCTAACGGCAACCTCTGCCTTCCGGGTTCAAGCGATTCTCCTGCCTCAGCCTCCCAAGTAGCTGGAATTACAGGCGCCCACCACCACGCCTGGTTGGTTTTTGTATTTTTAGCAGAGATGAGGTTTCACTATTTTGGCCAGGCTGGTCTCGAACTCCTGACCTCAGGTGATCCACCCGCCTCCACCTCCCAAAGTTCTGCAATTAGAGGCATGAGCCGCTGCACCCGGCCTGCTGTGACTCTTAAGACTAATTTTACCCACTGTTATCACTCATCAATAGAAGCTTGCCAGCTCGTCAAAACTTAACTGGTGCCATTTAACTTTCTTTCAAGACAATAAGCGACACTTCTTTTTTCTATAATCCCTCTAACCTCTTTGTTCTTCAGACATGCCGAAGACTACTCAATCTATGTGTATTCCCCAAATTACAATTCTTGCTTCCCAGACAAAACATTTTAAATTTAAAAATTTGTCTCTATATTTTATTTGACTTAAACATACTTGGTGTCAGAAGTATAGTTTCAAAGCTGAATCACCTCAGGGAGAATCACTGTGAAGAACTATGAAATGAGGTACCTGTACTTGGCCCCTTGATCCCCTCCTGTTTGCCTGGGTTGCCTTTTTCCCCCTGGTGAATCTCTCTTGGACCAAACTCCCCCAACTGTGTTGTTGTTGTTGTTGTTGTTGTTGTTGTTTTGAGTTCGTTTTATTTGGGATTTGGTTGGGGAGGTGGCTTACCTTCCATGTTTGAGAGAGGTATTTTCCTCTTTGGTTGAGAGATCTCCTGTTGGGGAGGACTCTTTTCCTCATGGCATATCTCAGCTGCAGGTCTGCATGAAGGGATTTTTCCTTTTGGGTGGTGGCATCAGTGAAGGGATTTTTTTTCCTTTAGTTGGAGAAGGTGGCTTATCATCCTTCTTAGTAATGTACTTTGTTTTCCATTCGTGTTTGTGTTTATTTGATTTTTGCATATTCAGCACTTGCATTTAATTGGCTTTTGTTTATTTGACATTAAACCAAATCACCTAGATAAATTTAGTTAGAATTGGGCTCCCAAAGTACAAAGACATAACAAAATATTTTCTGGGACTCCAGTCGGTAACATGTTCATTCAAACAGTCTGTTGTCCTTAAAACTATACTAAAAGGCCATGGCTAAAAGCTCATACACTCCAAAAAAGACTGACAGCTCAATTGATAATACTGATACTTACAAAAAAGGAAAAACAAACAAGATTCAGGACTCGAAGTTTGCCTTGCTACTAAATACTATCTCAAAGCTAGGTGAGATAGTATGTGCTTCCTATCTGGAATTTCCCCCTCCTCTTTCTACAGTTCCTCCTCTTTATCCTTCTTAAGCTAAACTCTCTGTTTCCAAAATTCTTAAGCTATTTTGGCATACTGACTATTTAAGTAAAAACAATTGAAAACCAGCAGATATAAAAAAAATGACATTCATGCTGTTTCCTAAAAGCAAAAGAAAATATTTCCATGCAAAAGATACTCTCCCTATACTAAAAGAAATGGCAACATTCTTATCTTCAAGGACTAAAACATGAGACCAAGAAAATACCATACAGACCTTGTTAGAATACCTCTTATCTTTTTGTCATGTAGTCACATTTTCACAGTTAACTATTCTTTGTCCAATCCATTGTATTGGTAACCAATTCAAACTGCTATACCCCAAATTTGGTTCACAGCCTTTATATGATTATCTGTTTTTAAAAATCTTCAAGTTTAGCCTTATTTCATTTTGTCAGAAAAATAGTTTGGATCTAACTGTCTTTTATAAACCAATGAGTTTGTATGTTTTACTATCTCATGACTACAATTCTAAAGTAAAAGCTGTAACATCTTTATTTATGGGTATGTATATATGTTTATTATATTTATCCACATGTACATGTATTATGTTGTATGTTGTGACTACATAATAAATCTGGCATAGTCAGCCAGAAATCTTTTAAGGAATACATTTAAATAAATGAGTACTCATGTCAAATGTATAGTAATTAATTCAAATTTCTTTTTAGTTTACTTAAGTACGTCTTTGATAAATTAACTGGTTTAAAAATTGTTGATAAAATTAGAAATGTTTTCACATTTCACAAAGTTAGAAATGTTTTCAATAATGAATGTACATTTTTGCCTGGCTTAATTTACTGATTAAACAGTTTTGTATTTGCCTCTGCTAGATGTTTTAAGGTCATGAAGCTGTATAACCAGACTAAAAGAAAATGATCTTTGTTTATGCAATTCTTTGATAAAAACAATTAATTTAATATTGTTGATTTAATAAAAATAGCTGTATCTTCTGAGTTACTAACAACATACCTATCCATTTAACTTTAAAATTCTTACTTAGGAAAACACTTGATATTCCTCTTTGGTGAGAGATCTCCTGTTGGGGAGGACTCTTTTTCCTCAGCTGCAGGTCTGCATGAAGGGATTTTTCCCTTTGGGTCGGGGCTTCAGTGAAGCGATTTTTTTTCCTTTGTTGGAGAAGGTGACTTATCATTCTTCTTAGTATGTACTTTGTTTTCCATCCATGTTTGGGTTTATTTGATTTTTGCATATTCAGCACTTGCATTAATTGGCTTCTGTTTATAGGTTATAAAATTTATTTATAGAAGGGCAACTTAAAATAATGATTACTTCTGTGTAAATACTCAATTTTCATAGGTAATCTAGGTGTAATTGTTAAAAAGCTAAATAAAATGGGTAATTGTAAATGGAATAAATGTTTATAAATGAAGCTTTTATGTAATTTAAAATCTTAAAATTATGTTAAATTAACAAATAGATATTAATTAAATTTCTTAGTCATGTCCAAACAAGATAAAAATATATTTAGCTCTACTAATAGAAATATACATTTAAGGAAAAATAATTTTGTATGATAAATAATCTTATATAGTGAATTTTTGTACTAAGATAAAATTAATAATAAATTTTTTTTAAATGAATGACTTAGAGGTTAAGAAAATATAAACAGTCTAAACAAGTCAAAGAGGATTTGTAAAGGATGGGCCTTATAAAGGAAGTTTTATGTGTGCTTCGATAAGCTGAGACTAAAAAGAAATTATTTATGTGTTTTTCTAAAAATTAAACATTGGTGGCAAGGAAGCACTGTTATAGTACCAGGGCCTGTTCGTATATACTGCAAACAAAGTTTTCTTGAAGTATTGACCTGCTCTTAATAAATTTGCCAACAGGTTTTGATTTTTTATTTTAAAATCTGTTTCTTTAATGCCATCTTCTAAACTGCAGACAGTTTCTATTTCTGCCACATTTCTTGCTGAGATGTATTTAATTTTTCTAGTTTCAAATTTAAAATGCTGCCCTTTTCTTTTACAATAATAATTTCATTTCTTGAGATAAAGTTTTCCTTTTGCAATTTCTCAGATTTATAGCTCAGAAGTTCAAATTTTGCTGTATCTCAGTGCACGTGATTTGCAGTTTTACATAATCATGGCTATACACAACAGAATGGCATTCTATTCTTTCTCCTCTTAAAAAGCTATATCTTTTTCCTTTGGCTGAGGGGATAACTCTCTCAACCTTTTTTTTTTTTTTTTTTTTTTTTTTGTCAACTCTTGTAACTTATTTCTCCACTTCTAACTCTTGTGTTAGTGGCCTGATGCTAAAATGTTTATTTTAAAGACCTAGAAAAGCAATGCTTTCCTCCAATATAATTAGATTCTATACACTTGGCTTTTCTTTATGTTTCTAAATTGTTCCATGTAACCAGAAAACTTCCCATGCTGTTATTAAGAGCTCAAGATACTAGTTTTCTTGTTTACATTCCTCTATAATATAGTGTACTCTCATAACCTTAGACACATTCTTTCTGTGTCTAGTATAATTCAAGGAACTTTTTCATCAAGTTTGACTTCCAGGTTACCTAAATGAGCTTCCTGTAAGGGGAAACAATGACTGCATAGGTTTTTCTTTCCTTTCTAGTAACTAACTTAAAGAAAGATAATAAATTTTATCAAGGTAATTGCTACATTGTCTTTCTTGGGTTTTGGGTTACTTAGGAAAACTTAGCTTTTGAAGGATTAAGGTTTGTAATCCATGTAAATTTCTACTTTGCTTTTGAAGTCTTCTGATTATTATTCTAGTTAAATGAATATTATATAATACTACAATGAGAGGTGAAGCCAGCTGGGCTTCTGGGTAGGGTGGGGATTTGGAGAACTTTTCTGTCTAGCTAAAGGATTGTAAACGCACCAATCAATGCTCTGTGTCTAGCTAAAGGTTTGCAAACACACCAATCAGCACTCTGTCAAAACAAACCAATCAGCACTCCGTAAAACAGACCATTCAGCACTCTGTAAAATGGGCCAGTCAGCTCTCTGTAAATTGGACCAATCAGCAGGATGTGGGTGGGGCCAAATAAGGGAATAAAAGCTGGCCACCCCAGCCAGCAAAAGCAAGTCGCTCAGGTCCGCTTCATCAGGCTGGAGGTTTTGTTCTTTTGCTCTTCCCAATAAATCTTGTTGCTGCTAACTCTGGGTCTGCACCACCTTTAAGAGCTGTAATACTCCCTGCAAAAGTGGACTTTCACTCCTGAAGTCAGCGAGACCACCAACCCACAGGAAGGAAGAATCTCCGGACACGTCTGAACATTGGAAGGAACAAACTCTGGACACACCATCTTTAAGAACTGTAACACTCACCATGAGGGTCCGTGGCTTCATTATTGAAGTCAGACCAAGAACCCAACAGAAGGAAGAAACTCTGGGCACGTCGGAACATCGGAAGGAACAAACTCTGTACACACGATCTTTAAGAACTGTAGCACTCACCATGAGGGTCTGTGGCTTAATTCTTGAAGTCAGACCAAGAACCCACCAATTCCAGACACAGCAGTGACCTATGACTCTGTTTTGATCAAGCATTTTGAGCCTTTTGACATG